>NC_000006.12:164767759-164919274 GCF_000001405.40 Homo sapiens | reverse complement strand
GGCCTCAAAAAGCAGGTGAACACCCATAGACACAGGCTCCAGGACTCCCAAGGGCCAGGAAGGTCCCCACAGCCCACACTACAGGTTGGCCCCTGCAGCCCCACAATCCAGCAGACCCAGGTTCCGGGCCTGCTCCAGCAGACCAGGGTAAAAAGCTGTCTAGAACTGGAAAGTCCTCCAAGGACCCAGGTTCCAGGACCACCCCTGTGTTCCCAGGTCCCAGGCTGGCCCCTGAAGACTCAGGACCCAGGCCAGCCCTCACTTCAATGCCAACACCAATGGACCCGGTCTCCAGACTCCAGGCCAGCCCTAATGGCTCCAGGCACCGGGTTAATGCCTGTGGTCTTAGGTACCAGACCAGCCCTCATGGGCCCAGATTCCATGCCAGCCCTTGCTGGAGGCTGACCCCAAATTCAGGGCAGTCCTCATTGCTCCAAACTTTAGAGGACCCACGGTCCAGGCCTACCTCAATAGACCCTGGTAACAGGCTGGACCCTGTGGACTGAGGTTCCAAGACTACTTCTGTAGAATTAGGCTCCAGGCCAGCTTGCATGTACCAGGACTCAGAACTTGGGTACATGGTACACGGACTCTGGCTTCAGGCTTATCTCAGTGGTCACAGGAATGAAGCCCAGCTCAGCACCAGACCAGCACCCATGGACCCAGGTGCCAGATCCATCACAGTTAACCCTGGTGCCCATCTAAGAGCGTTACTACCCTTGCAGATTCAGGCTCAAGGATTACCCCATTATAAGATCAGCCCCTGTAGATCCAGGCTTCAGACTGACCTCCATGGATAAAGGATCCAGACTCACTCTCCTGAACCCAGGTTCCAGACCCAACTCCACAAACCCAGGTGCCAGGTCTATCCACCTACTTAACCCAGGCACCAGGCCAGCCTGCCTGATGATTCTAGTAGCAAGCCCATTCTTAGACTATGCCAAACCACCTGCCAGGAATATCTGGATAGGCTGACAAGTAAAGGTCTTTCTTGGACAAAGCCCTATACAAAGACTAAAATAATTTCCTACTTCTTCAAATGCACAGGCAATAATGTAAGGCAATAAATACATAAAAAGCCAAAGAGACATGGTATCACCAATTGAACACAATAACTTCTCAGAAGATGATCCAAAAGAAATGGAGATATACAATCTGCCTGATAAAAATTGAATATAGTTGTTTTAAAGTGGTTCAGTGAACTTCAAGAAAATAGAGAGAAAAAAACTTCATAAAATCAGGAAAGCAACAAAAGTCCAAAATGGGAAATTTAACAGAAAGATTGAAATTATTTAATAAATCATATAGACATTCTGGAGCTAAAAAAATACAAAGGATAAACTTTTTAAAATGCAATGGAGAACAGAAACAGAAGAGTTGACCAAGCAAAAGAAATAATCTGTGAACTTGATACAGGTTATTGAAAAATATATAGTCAGAATAAAAAAAAATTAAATAAAATGAAGAAAGGTTATGGGATGCATGGGACAGCATCAAAAGAGCAAATATTGGAGTTATAGAAGTTTTTGAAAGAGAAGAGAAAAACAAAGGAAAGCTTACTAAAGAAATAATAGCAGAAAACTCCCCAAATTTGGAGATACAAATATTCAGATACAAGAATGTCAAAGGTCTCTAATCAGATTCAGTCCAAGTAAGACTTACACCAAAATATGTTGTAATCAATCTGTCAGAAATCAAAAACAAAGAGAGGTTCCTAAAAGCAGCAAAAGAAAAGAAGCAAATAGCATATAATAGAGTTCTAATAAGGCCAGCAGAGAATTCATCAACAGAGACTTTATAAGCCAGGAGAGAGTGGGAAGATATACTCAACGGACTGAAGGAAAAAAAGCAATACAAAACTGTCAACCAAGAATACTGAACAAGACAAAGCTGTCTTGCAGTTGTCCTTCATATATTTAGTGTGAATGTTAAAAGACAAAACCATCAAAACCAATAAGAGTTATAATAATTTCTTAAGAAATAAAATTTAAAAATATAAATTGTGACATCAAAATTTTTAAATGTGGAGAGGGTGGAGTGAGAGTATATATTTAAGCAATCAAATATAACTTGTTATTTGCTTTAAATAGCCACATGTAACATTCTTGTTTAATTATTGCAACAACCCTGAGAGACCATTTTCTTTTCACTAATATTTCCGTTCCCAAAGATCTCTTCTGCTAGAACCTTCAGAATTATATGCTTTGTTTTTTTTGTGAAGTCCAGGGCCTCATGACGATTTAGCAACTTCCTGCACCCTGCTTACCCATATCCAAAGTCACAGGCTATCTGTGAGCTGGAGAAGAGGTCTTGGTGTGCTGGTGTGGCTCCTGGAAGCAGTAGGTGTGGCTCACACACACGTGCCTGGTGAGTGGGTGATTATCTGCCAAGAATGTTTTGACTTAAACCTGCCTTGGCATCATAATGCTTCCCTAGGAGGTCAAGAGTTAATGGCCCCACATTACGATTGCTGTTTTTCTTCTCCTGGCTTATGGTTAACACCTTTCTTTAGCCAGTGAACTGCTAAGTAGAGAAAGTGCAGTACTTCTGTTTGTCATCTTCAGACCAACTGGAGCCCCTGATGTGTGTGGAAATGGAAGAGGCTATTACTTGACACCTCCAAGATCCATTGATGACCTGTACTCCTGTTATCAGAGCCAACATGTCTTTCAGCTTTTGGCTAAAGGCATGAGATAACATGTGAAGATTTGCACAAGCAATATAATTTGCTTGCAGTTGTTCTTCTGAGCAGTAATTTTCCCAATCATATCTCCTTTCTGGGATTGAAAAATGAAATAGCTATGAACTGATGTGTCTGATGTCAGCAAAGAAAGTATAAAACTGGTAACTATTCTGCAGATATAAGAAAGAAATCACAGTAGCCCAATAAATTATGTGGTTCATTATTTGTTATTCATCACATAAAAAACACAAATGAAAAGACCTGACCTTTCCCGGGCAGCAGCACTGCTCTGACAATATAGTCAATAGTAACAGCTAATAGTGTGCAACTTAAGATCTGCCGTATAATGATGCATTTGTAAACACATTTTTTTTTTTTTTTTTTACAGAGCAATGTGAGTAGCAATCTACTGGCAGCAGGTATAAAAATAAAATATCTCCTTCCTGCTCGTTGTTATCCCCTCTCCTATAGTTAGAATTCATGGGAGATTCATCCAGGGACACATGAGGCCCAGGGTTGGAGGAGGCAGTGGAAAGAAGGTGGTTGCAGTAGAGATCCAGGCCCTCTGTGTTTTCTGTAACCAAGCCTTTTACCAACTAAAAGTCTATGCTTCCAAAAATATTATGTTGACTATTGGAGAGCAGTGTAGATGTTTGTGATGAAGGAGATGCAAAAAAAAATCTGTATATTAAAAGAAAGTGGCAGAGGTGACAATGATATGGTTAGAAATATAGTCTGTAATCAGATTCACTTTCAAATCTAAGATATTATATCTGTCTATTAAAACTGCTTGCTACTTACCCTGCTTTTCAGTAGTTATTTGCTGACCCCTTTGTCAATATCCATATACGCATGAAAATAGTCTCATAAAAAATAAAATACCTATTTTTGTCATTTTAGAGGTGTGAATTTTATAGGCTCGCTCATTTCTCCACGGATATAAGCTGGCAGTCCCTATTCCGATACCTGCACATCTGGTACTTCACCAGGAAACCTGCCAAAACCATCAGAAATGCTTAATACAGGGTTTAGGCCAACTGTGTGCTATCAATTCAGAGAGCAAAAACGGAAAAATGAAAGGAAAGGAATGGTGCTAAATTGCATCAGACATTTAATTACCCTTCCTCTGCACATCCACATTCGTGCATGCAGATACACACACACACACACACACACACGCTACTCACTAGAAGCTTCAAAATTAAATAACATCATAGCTTCCTTTTTTGCTCCTCAGCTCCGTAGTCTCCCACGCCCACACACACACAGCCATGGTCCAGACACTTGCAGGCCCTGTGCCAGTGCTGCAGAGAAAGATGGCTCTGCCCTGGACCCCTCACAGAAAGAATCACAGTCTAGTGGGAGAAACAGAGCAGAAAAAAAAAAAAAGTAACATAGCTCCTTGAATAGACATCTCCAGAGATAAAAGTAGAAGCAGAAGTGAGGATCTATGCAATTTTGCCTCTAGAATGAGAAAGAGCATTATTGAGAAGGCATCTGTTGAGCAGTCTCATCTACATTGTCAATGTAGATGCAATACTGGGGCTTGGAACAGCTGGAACAGCAGCTGGGGCAGACGAGGGGACCGTGAATTTTGCCTGCTCTAAGGCTTACACTGGGCATGGGAACCCTGTAATGGGTGAGAGAGGAGCCAAGGCCATAAGCCATGTCACAGTGGCTTTTCCTGCCCCAAAGAAGAGCTTGATTTCTAGTCCACAGTGGAGACAGCTCCCAGCTTTCTTGACTTTTTGACTCTTGGGAATCGCCTCCAGTTACTCACAGTGATGACTTGATTGATCGCACATGTGTTATTGGCTACCTTCCTTCCCTGTCTCTCTTTTCCACCTCTGATTTCTCCAACATAAAGTACTTATACCTAATTTTTTTTCTTAGTATTAACTTTGGGGAACATAATCTGTAACAGTAAAGAAGGCTGTGAGAGTGCTTCTGTGAATAATGTTCAAGAGAAAGAATCGTCGGACCATAGTTGATGTTTGGATTCATAGAGTAAGGGAGAGGGAAAGGACTAAGATGAACTCTAGGCTTCTGATTAGAATAACTTGGTGAATGTCATTACCATATGGAACGAAGGACAAAGAGCAAAGTTGAAAAGGAAATGAGGCATATAAATTTGGAACATGTGGAATTTCAGGAGCTCTGGAAGCAATCAGAATTGATATTAATAGGCATCTAGGACCAAGGCTTAGAGGGAATTCTGAACTAAAGAGAGATATTTGTGAGTCATTAATCTGAAGTTGAAGTCATGGAAGAAGAAGAGGCTTCAAGGTGAAAGAGGAGAAAGCGCCTGAAGAGATAACCATGAGTTATTCCAATATTTAAGGGGGAGAAAGAAGACAGTCATGCAAATTAGAAGGAGAACAAGTGCCAGTAACATCAACTAACTGGGGCATAATTATGCATAGTAAAGAGAGGACGTCAAGAGGTAAGGAGAAGACCAGTTTATAATATATGCTTGGTGGTCAGCTAAGACAAGAAAGAAAGAATCTGGGGCCTGCGGTGGACAAAGGAGGATTTTGATAGGGTGATCTTATTGGAGTGAATGGGCAGAAGTGAAGATTAAGCCAAAGATGCAGAAACAGAGGCAGGGTTTATGCAGCATTCAGATGTTTAACGACCCCTAGGGCTGAATGCAGAAAATCTGTATAGATGGATGTTGGCAGTGGTCTGATGCAGGCTCTTCAGACCAGACTGGGCCAGGGGTGTCCTTTCCAGCGGCTGGATCATGATGCAATCCAGTTTTGGAGGAGGAGAGTCATAGTGAAGGGGACTAGGGGAGCTTGGGGTGGCCGCTCTTTACCAACAGAATCACACCAAGTTGTACTTGCTCACTACCAGTCGTGCGTGCCCTTGCACTCTACATGCAAACCTTACATATACAGGTTAAAAACAATCTCCACCATGCAGTTGCGGAAAGGCCCCAGTGCGGTCAGCTGTTCCATTGTGGGGTATGGCTGCTGGTGCAGCACGTGCTGACAGGAGGTGGGGGTGGAAGGCATGCGGGGTCAGGGCAGGGATGCTGTGGGGTCTACTGAGAAGGAATATTTTTTAAAAAGGGAAAGGAAGTCTAGGATGCATAATTACATTTGGAAGAGAGATGATGATTAAAATTAGTTAAGTGCTGATGTGAAATCAGACACTTTGGAATCAGGGTATCTATGTACTATGCACTGTGTATGATCGACCAAGGGGGACTTAGAGAGAATTGGCACTCTAATCCCTCCTTGGTTGATATCTGAGGGACTTGTTCTGCTCTTTTTCAGGGAATACAGGAGATATTTAATACCGTTCCCTCTCCTGACCCATGCCTTTCATTGCAGAGAAATGTACGGACCCAAACTTGTGGCCAGTTGTCTACTTTTCTGGCTAAATCTAATTCTCCTTGATGAAGTGAGTGAACAAAGTCTCCTCAGTTCATCACTGTTGGCAAGGCTCCTGGAGTAACGGGGGAAGGATCAGCCCCTAGGTGTGCAAATTCAGAGGTGTGCTATAGTGTGCCATAGTGTCCATGTGTGTGATGCTGAGCAGCTTCCCAGGTGCGCTTCGTTGTATATGCTCCCAGATATTCTATGGTGTTCAGGTTTTCAGGTGTACAGGGGCTCAATTGTGCATGTTTCCAGGTATGCTATGGTGTGCAGTTTCCCAGTGGTGTAAGTTCCCAGGTGTGCTAGGGTATACAGGCTCCCAGGTGTGCTATGGCTTTTGGTTCCTAGGTCTTCAGATTCCAAAGTGATCAGCTTCCCAGGTAGGCTATGTTGTGCTGATTGCAAAGCCTATTATAGTGTGCATGCTCCCAGGTGTGCATAGTCCCAGGTGTGCTATGTTAAACATAATCCCAGGTGTACTATACTGTGTGGGCCAGGTGTGCTCTATCCTGCAGAATCACAGATGTGTTCTTTTGTGCAGGTGCGTAGATATTCAAGTTTCCAGTGTGGTCTGGTTTTTCTGTTCAACTCAGGTAGAGTCTTGGCTGGCAATTCAACTCTCAGGAAGCATAATGAGTACAGACCTGTTTGTCTATCCCCAAAGTTCACAGGTACATATTAAGGATAATGGAGATTCACACAAAATGTTTACGTGCTCAAATTGTGGGGAGTCACTTTAAAATTCACTTGTCCTTTGGGGAAATGGATTGAGCAGCTGCCACACTCTTTTCCAAGAGAGGAGGCTTTGTGCCCTTATATAGAAGCACTGGCATTTTTCCAGCTCATGGCCACATTTAGCAACAATATTAATTTCAGCTTCTCACAGTTGCAGCTGTGAACAACTAAAAAAGGTCATTTTTCTATACTTGAAATATAGAACACATATTAATTTTCCAGTAGATTAACCTAATGATCAAAACTGGAAAAGAAAAGAAAATACTTTTTTGGGACAAGGGAAGGAAGACAGCCATTTCTTTACCTTGAATCCGCCTATTTGACACAGTTTTTTTTTTTTTTCCTGCAGAAGTCCTGTAGTCCGTAGCTGACGGCTACATTCAGATCGTGTACAACCCTGTGATCTGATTCAGAATAAGCTTCTGAGGGCCTGCCCATGGTGGTCAGGGGAGGAGCTGCAGAGTACACTTTTATTATGCAGAGAGAGACACGGGCTTCAAAAGAGGAGATTTTAGGCAGTAAATTCCCAAAGGTGTTGCTACCACTAATTGTCACTTTTGCCTTGAAATCTCTGGAGTTCTTCTTCTTTTCTTTTTAAATTAGAATACCAAGATCTGGGCAACTTGAATTACTTGACACACTTTTGCTGACCACTCTCACTTCAGTAACTCCCTCCTTTGATTTTCTAGGATTCTCACAACATAAACACTTCTACCAATTGCCATTTTGAGAATGGTATTTAAATGATGATAAAGTTGTGTAAGCATTTTGATCAAATCCACAGCCAAATATTCTTTTTTAATTCAACTGAATCATCTAGTCACTTCATAATCTCGTTGCTCCATTGGGGAATTCAACCAAAGGGTTGAAAATACTTGAGTACCTACATTATCTTAGCTACTGCAGATAAAATAAACAACGATAAAGGAATACAAGAAGTGACAGAGTAGAGTGTGTACACAAAGTCAGTGTTATGAATAAGATCCCTGATCATGATATTGAAAGCGAAAGAAAAAAAAAAAAAAAAAAGCAGGGGTTTTGAAAACCAGGAGCTAGTCATGTGAAGGAGGATAGTATCTTACTCTCCTTTAAAAACTCTTTCTTGCCATACAATCTCTTTGAGATACTTCTGTCTTCTTTTATTCACTTCCTTTTGACCTACAGCATGACTGGCACATGGCTGAGATCATGATAAGTTAGCTCTGACCATGAGACGATGCAAGTAAATGCCAGTATTCTGCCTGCAGAAAATGGAATTCAGTTTATCTGATTTCTTATGAAGATTAGAGAGAATAGAAGGGAAAGACTTTGTACCAAAACCCCAAATTATGGGTAATCATGGAATTATTTATATGCACCCTCCTTTGGGTACAGACATTTTCTGTGTTGTTCTTCATTTTGACTTTCTAAAAATACTTCCTGCATTTTCTCTCTTCTATCTTCCCCCAAATGCTGGCTTTACATTAGAAAACTGTTTTCCTCAATAATATTGCCACATTTATTACTATAATCTACATAATGTCTAACTTTTTGTAACTCAGATGTGCATATTCTCTTACATTTGCAACTATTTTCCACAGAGAAAATGAGGTTCAAGCATTGAAGCTCCATTCTTTAAGACTTCAGGCATGCCTGCATTTGCATATGAACTTCCCTTATATCTACTTTGTTTGTTTATTTGTCAGTTTTGATAAAAAAAAAAAAGTCCTGCTGGGATTTTAATCAAAATTGCATTAATCCTATTGATCATTTTGGGGGAGAATTGACATCTTAGCTTTATTGAGTCATCCAAACCACGTACGTGAAATATTTTATTTAGGCCTTAAATTTCTTTCAGCAATGTTTTGTAGTTTTCAGTGTTTGGACTTCTTGTATTTTTGTCAAATTCATTGCTTAACATTTTTTAATGCTATTGTACATGGAATTTTATTTATTTCAATTGCCATTGGTTTATTGCAAGTACAGTTGTTTCTTGGTATATGCAAAAGATTGGTTCCAGGTTACTCCCCAAAACCAAAATCCATGTCCACTGAGGTCCTACAGTCAGCCCTGTGAAGCTGCGTATACAAAAAGTCTGCCTTTCACATGGTAGGTTTCCCTTCCTGTGAATACTGTGTTCCAGATCCAAGTTTAATTGAAAAAAAATCTGCTATATACATGGACCTGCACAGTCTAAATCCATGTTGCCCAAGGGTCAACTGCCTATAGAAATACAAAATAGTTTTGTAGAATTTTCTACCCTGCAACTTGGTAAACTCACTTATTAGATCTAGTATTATACCTTCTTTTACAGTCTATCAGATTTCTTTTGCGGATGATGTTGTAATCTACAATGTAAGATAGTTTTTTTTCTTCTTAGGAGGATGACCTTTATTTCTATTTCTTGGCTGATTGCACTGGCTATGATCTCAGTATAACGCTAAGTAGTGGTTGAGAGAGAAAACATTCTTGTCTAATTCTGATCTTAGGGAAAATCATTCATTCTTTCACCATTAACTGTAATATCACTTTCAAATTTTGTAAATGACCTTTATCAGGTTGAGGAAGTTTTACCATATTCTTCTTTTTCTACTTTGCTGAGAGCACTTTCCACAAATGGATGTTGGATTTTTGTCAGATACTTTTATGCACTTATTGAGATGATCATGTTTATTTTTTTAATTTTTTTAATATATTGAATTACATTGATAGACTTCTGAATAGTAAACCAACCATTTATTGCTATAGTGAACCACATTTTCCCATAATGTATTTTCTTTTTATGTATGTTTGGACCAATTAGCTAAATTTTGTTAAGGATTTTAGCATTTATGTTTATGGGGGATATCAGACTATTCTTTTCTTATCTGGTAATGCCTGTTTTTCTGGTTTTGGTATCAGGTTTCTGGTTTCTGGCCCTACCAAAGGGATTGGAAAGAATTTCCTCCACTTTAATATTTTTGAATAGTTCAAATAGAATATATTCTGCTATTAGGTACATAAATATTTAGGATTGTGATATCTTTTTCAGTAATTTACTTTCTTATGGTTATAAACATATCTGACGTATTTCTGGTAATGTACTTTAATTTGAAATCCTTGTTTGGTATTAATATAGTCTATCAGATCTCTTTTTGACTAGGGTTAGCATGATTATATCTTCTCCCATGCTTTTCCTTTTAACCATTTTTCTTTATTTTTAAAGTACATTTCTTGTAGGCAACACATAGTTTGGTCTTGCTTTTTAAATCCAGTTTGGCAATCCTTTTTAATTGAAATATTTAGACCATTTATATTTCAATGTGACTATTGATATATGCAATTATATCATCATATTTCTTTTTAATCTATCCTGTTTGTTCTTCGTTACCATTTTCTCCTTTTTTCTTTCTTTTGGAGTAATAGAGCATGGTTTATAATTCCACAGTATCCCCTTTATTGGCTTATTTTAATATTTGCAGCATGTCTGAAAATGTCTTGGTTTTTCATTTTGTTTTTAAAGATTTTTTTCTACATATGGAGTTCTAGGTTGACAGGCTTTTTTCTTTCAGTACTTTAAAGATGTCGCTCCATTCTCTTCTCACTTGCATTGTTTCCAATGAGAATCTCCTATTATCTTTAACTTTGTTCCTCTCTACACAATGTGTATTTTTTTCTCTGTCTGCTTTTAGTATTTTCCCTGTTCATTTTGGTCATTTTAAATGATTTCTTTCTCAGCATCAGATACTTTTTGTCATATAAATGCACTGATTGATACTCTGCTAAAAACTTGAGAGGGACCCTCTGCAACGATCAGGATCTCTCTCTCTCAGTCTCTATCTTAGTCTCTCTCTCTCTCTCTAGGTCTCTCATCTCCAATATGCAGTCCTGTGATTTCTAGACAGCTTGGTCCCCCCAAAGCTTTTACTCTGGCACCTCAAATCACAGAACCACAAAATTTCACCTAATTTCCTCTTCTCTGTGCTGTTCCCTGAAAACTTTTGAAGGCAAAAAACTGTGGTGGTTATTGGGCTCACCTCAGTTGTTTCCAATATACTAGGGATCACTGTCTTTAATGGCATGATGTCCAGTCTCTCGAAGGTAATTGTTTCATGTATTTTGTCTATTTGTTTGTTTAGCTTGTTTCAGGCAGAGGGTAAAATCTAGTCTTGTTGAGTCCATCTTGGCCTGACATAAAGGTGCCATTATAGTTAAATCTTAAAATTCACTTAGAATGTGAAATATCTTAATGCATTTAGCAATTATGGAAGATTGTGTATTCCTTCAATTCGTTTTTCTTTTGATCAATACACATTGATTCTGACAATTGATACAGTTATTGGACATGCACTTCCCTTGGAATCCTCTAGTTTCAATCAAATCGATAGTTATTGGTAAAGAAAGAAATATTCATTATCCCTCTGAATTTACCTAGGACCATAGAATATATTTATTGGAACTAAAAAGAAGTGCAGAATTGTTAAATGAAAGACACTTTCACTTAACTGTTGGTTAAGGTCCAGAAAAATATATGTTCTAGTTGTCTATTGGGGCATAATAAGTGCTTCCATAACAGAGTAGCTTTAAAAAGCAACAATCATTTTATTATTAACTCTCATGATTTTGGACCACAGCTAGACTCTAAAAGATGGTTCTTGCTTGGTGTCTCTCTTGCAGTGGCTGGGCTGAGGTCACTTTGAGTTTCACTCACATGTCTGCAGGTCGGTACTGGGCGTCACCTGGCAGTTCAGTGTGCCATCTGTAAGAACACCTATGCATAAATGCTCCATGTAGCCTCTCTGCTTCTCATCTCATGGTGAATGGCTTCCAAGAACAAGTGTATCAAGTGGATCTGGCAGAGAATGTCCATTGCCTAGCCTCGAAAATCACATAGTGTCACTTTCACAGTAGCCACAATCCCACTCAGGGTGCACTTGATGGTAAGGGTGTCCAAGTCACAGTATAGGAAGGAATTAATAGGAGACCCTTTGAGGTCTTCATGGAAAATATAACCTGCCACTGTGACCTTTAATGAGATCCTTGACTATTATAATATGTCATAATAAGTGTACTGCCATGAGCAAGAGTGTCCAAAAAATATCTAAAGGCTCATTCTGGGTTTTCTGGGCAATGAACTAACTAGAACTGAGAGTTCCTCCTTCCTGTAGTGGTAGGAGAGTGATGGCATTTTCCCCCCAATACTGGAGATGGTCCTTCCCACAGACTTTCTGTTTCCAAGCTGCTTGAGCAGTTGGGTTTCCTAGATAACTCTTCTAAAGCATTGGCACCCACATCCAGACTTCTTGGGGTGCCAGGCAGCCCGTGCCTGCCCCCATTGAGAAGTTTGCATCACTATGCTCATCCCACAGGAGGCCAGATTACCATGGGGACTTGCCCTTCCAGAGCAATAGCCTGGCCCTAGCTTGCCTCCCTGTGTGATGATGGGAGAGAAGGGGACTGCCTTTGGTATAGTGGGTTTTCTTTTTCTCCAATAAAGTCTTTTTCTCAAGCCATATTGTGCAATTTTGTAAAAGGTTTCTTGGCTCCTGATGCATAATTGGCAGAAATTCAGAAGCAAAACATTATGGTACAACCATATGAAAGAGTAAAGAAATAAGTCTGATATGTATTTACATGATATATATCTCACCAGTAGCATTCATGGTGAACATTGATAGAATTTGATGAATTTTCTAATTTCACTTATGTTTATTTGCTAGATGGTTGATACTTGTGCAATTCAGAAGCATATAATAAAAGCTAATTTGGCATTTTGTCAGCTCCAAAATACAGGGAAGGTTCCTCAAATACCTCTATTGTTTAATGTGGCACCTGGCACTTATCAGTGGTTCAATACTTTAATTGAATGAATGAACAAAAGAATATGTAGAAATTTATTGGTCTTTCTTACTGCAAAATATCTACTTTCACAGCTCCTTAAAAGGCCGCCTTGCATTTTGTGATAGGTCCTCAGTTATCTCAAATTATATTGTAAACATTATAATTAACACAAATCTCAATGGTTCAAAACTGATAATGTTCAATGGCTAAGAGAATGTCTTAATGTTTCTTGGGCGCATGATTTATCATAAGAAACTGTAGATGAAAAATTTTAAATGTAAAAATAATTTGTATGTATAAGACAAGCATACATTCATATCTTTAATGTTTAAACACCTTCATGAATCAAATAAGAAAAATTAATATGAATCAATAGAAATAATGATTAAAGACTACAAATAGCAGTTTCCTTGTGGAAGAAACAGAAAGACTGATGAACATACAAAAACATTTTTATGTTCACCACAATGGAAATGATTAGTCAAATTGAGAATGATAAGAATGAATGATAATAGACATTATCAATGACAGTGAGGTGAAAAATACAATGTTATGAACATCTAAAAAGATGGCAAATTGATCCAAAATTTTTGACCAAAATTATTGACCAAGCAACTCTATTTATGTAAAGTCAGCCTAAAAAAGTAAAGATATTTTCAGGTTTTTAGTCTTATTCTTTTGTCAGAAAATTGAGATAACCTTAGGTCCATCAAAAGAAATTTTTTAAAATTTAACAACACACCTACCCATGGAATATTATGTAGTCAGTTCAAATTATGTTGAAGAGTAATGTTTTATAAGATGTATTTTCGCCATATAAAAGGCATATTTTAAATCAGTGAGTACTGTATGATCTCTTTCTGAAAAAAATAAAATGACAATAAATAGAATAATAACTTGGCAGATTATAATAAATTGCTGAGAGGGAAATCTCAGTGGTAGTGTTGTGGGTGATTTTTATTTTCTTACTATTGTTTTTCTGTATGTTTTCATTTATATGGTATAAATGAATTAATTTTTTTGTTGGAAAAACAATAACAAGTAAAAACAAATAAACAAAGCCTGAAACTGAATAGAGCCTTGAGGCTATAATATCTTCTTTGATAGTGGTCTCCTCACCAACTGAAATAGCAGTAAAGCCATCTGTAGCTGTGATTCTGAGAACATATGCACTGACAACTTAACAGCTTTTTCAAGCTCTCTTCAGTTTCACTTGGATAACTTACTGAAGTCTAAGTTAGATAACTAAGAAATTTCTCCCCAGTTACAGGATAAATAGTTTGCCTATTTCAATCAAAATATAAGTGACTACTAATTAATTAACTCATTCATTTAAAATTAAACTAACATTTCATTGGGTCTCTGCTGCCGGGGTAAGTTGTGGGGCATTTATAATACAGATGACTGGTGCTTGCCCACTGAGTGCTTGTTATTTATATGTCATCACAGGTCATTTTCATGCATCTTGACTAGTGATTTAAATATATATTTTAAAATATGTTTAAATCAGCAGGTTAATCTCAAAATTGTCCTGTCTATTAATTAGCTGCATTGTTGCATTCAAGTGATACAGTTTGGCTGTGTCCCCATCCAAATCTCATCTTGAACTGTGGCACCCATAATCCCCACATATCATGGGAGACACCTGGTGGGAGGTAATTGAATCCTGGGGGCAGGCTTTCCTGTGCTGTTCTCATGATAGTGAATAAGCCTCACAAGATCTGATGGTTTCATAAAGGGCAGCTCCCTTGAACATGCTCTCTTGCCTGCCACCATGTAAGATGGGCCTTTGCTCTCCCTTCACCTTCTGCCATGATTGTGAGGCCTCTCCAGCCATGCTGACCTGTGAGTCCATTAAAACTCTTTCTTTTATAAATTACTCAGTCTTGGGTATGTCTTTATTAGCAGTGTGAGAACAGGCTAATACAGGTAGTATTTATTTTTTTAGGATAGATTTTTCCAAAAGGGTATTCATGATATGTCCATTTAACCTGTTGTAGATCTTTCTACTTAATGAGGAGAAAACTTATTTGCAGGACTCCCGTATTAACCTCAATTATTTCCTCTTCCATGCTGCTTTGAATGATCTTCACATTTTCAGTTTATGTACAAATGGTGGAGCCAGAATACATTTTTTTTTAAAAATTATAGAGTAAAATGTAACCAATATTGAAGGAATCAATTGAAACTATTATTGTTAAATAGAAGTGTTCACATTATTTTAATCAGATATCATGAGATACAACACATTGTCTGGTTAATATGTAGTCAGGAGAAAGTGCATATGACATTGATGGAAACACAGGAATTGGATTATCAACCAAACTCCTTCCTGGATATGAAATATAAAGTTCCTCTAACATTCCACAGAAAGATGCAGTTATCTTTCTGCATCTCTGAAAACCTCCTGTCTGGTTTACATAGTGAAGTAAAAATGTCCATAATATACCAAGAAGTCTGAGGCAGGTACATAAGATCAAAGATTTTCTTTCCTAACCCAAAAGCTAAAATGAGAGGAATCCTTCTGAGTTTCCTGTTTAACCAAAGCAGCTAAGCAGTGATTATGGCCAAAGGCTGTCTTCCTCTCTTTTGATATTCAAGAGATTTAAGTCACCATCTCTCTAATCATAGCATTGAGTACTGTAATAGACTTTTCTGAAAGAAGATAAAAAAACTTCCCTTATCTTTTTATGATAAAAATTCAGTGCCATATAGAAGTAGAAATGCTTTTCAAGCTTTCTAGAGAAGTTCATCCCTGCAGAAGGTTAGTAATTTGACATGACAGAAACATACTCTCTTGGTAGAGAGAATAATTGTATCCTGCCATACTCTGTGCATTGGAGACAATCATAAAGATCTACTCAGCTTTATCTAAATGCAGCCCAGCAAATTACACTGATGAATGCTTGATGCTAGTTTAACATTCAGAAAATCCATTGTTTTGGCTTCATATGATTGCAGTGACTGAACTAATTTGGGACAAATCATTTGAGCATCGTCATTGTCTTCTGTGTATAAAGTAAAACTTTATTCACCATCCTGAATTAGTAAAAACAGTGGCTCGATTTGAAAATCATCTAGGGTGGACTTAGAGTGGAAATGAACTAAGCAGTGTATTTCCTGCTTCCATTGTTTATGATTCCTATATTATCTTTACTTTGCCATTCTATCACTTTTGATTACAAATTCTTTATTGTGTGATTTTCTTGCTGATACATGTATTCCAAGCTTCTGTTTTTTGCCAGCGCCATGGATAAATGTGGATTTACAAACTGTGACGCAGAGGATAAGGCCAACGTGCTGGTGCCCAAATTGGGTATAGAGAAAGGAGTCCTTGAGCTTTGGGAGTCAGACCTCTGCATGTGATGAAAGTCAAGGTCAAGAAAAGCAAAGAATCAAAGGCAAGACAGGCATGCAAGAGTCAATTAAACATAGTCGCGCAATGGGACTTGTAGGACCACAGTCATCAGAAATTAGTGGTTAAACAGAGAAGAAATAAGCATGTGGGAATATGGTAACATGGAAAGTCAGAAGTTGATAGTCAAGTATCAAAAAATTTTAAAGAACCTGGTGAAAACACAAGGCAGTGAATTTAACATCCAGGCTAGGAATTTCATTGTCAACAGGATCAGATGTAGTGTAAAATGAGTGAAGCAGAGTCTCTCCATTATATCCCATCTCATTATATTGTAACGTCATTTTTTTCAAAGGGGAGATAAAAATTCAAGTTACACCAGGTCTTCAGTGAAGTGTTATGTCCATCCTGGTTCAGCTGAAATAATTACGGTAATCATCCTGAGTTTAAGGAGAAGGGAAGTACAGTTTTTCACACTAATAGTACTCCATGTCACATTTATTTGACATGTAAAAGATATTAGACTCTTGGATATAAGGTATTATATAAATATTATTTGTACTTTAAGCCCAAAACCTTTTAATATTGAAGTAAATATACAGAGACATATCAAATTAAATGTTTGAATTTAAACTAGGAGTCTTTTATGAGCGTCAGGAGAGAAATCTAAGAGACGTAATTGGGTAATAATGCCTGGACAGGCTGGGCAAGGAGAGATAAGAGAAACTTTCTTTCCCAGATGTGATCCATTCAGTTGCTTTTCCTTAAGCCATTCTTTTACATTTCTAATGAATAATTTCCTGCTTCTTATAGATGCCATTTTCCGGGGCAGGGGGAAATACTGGTTTATACAGAGAAATGATCATCACATATTTCTCCCTGAAAGATTTTTTTTTTAAAGAAGTATATGTAGGGTAAAACCTGCATATTAAGCTAAACACAATATGTTATCGCTTGTACTATAAGTTTGTTTCATAATCAGTATTGTTTAAACTGACTGGAGGTTGGAAATAACTTTGTTCTCCATAATGTGGTCTGATTAGTGAGTGTTTGAATAATCACTCTTATGATGCCACTCCTGTCTTACCCTACCTATTTCCCCAGCCTGCTTTTGTTTTCAAGAAATGCAGCAGAAGTGTTGATGCTGAAGGGACCCATAGCTGCCACCTCCACCCTCTTTCCACTTTGCCATTTGGAGTGGAGCTGCAGGGGTGCATTGCAGAGTTTCCTACCATTTGAGTCATGGTCTACCAGCTGTACATGTTGCCTGATATTTTCACCCAAGTTAATCTTTAAAGCAATAGAATGTGATAAGTTCCAGATGTCTTTCATAGGAACATCTAAAATTCCAAAAGCACAACTGGTTTTTCCTCTGTCGATACAGAGTATTTGCCACCAAGGTATTCCAGTTTTGCTGGTCAGAATCAGTGATGAAGATTAAAGGGAGCAACGATTTTCTGATTGAGCGGACAGGGTGATAGAATTATGTTTACTGATCTCTTCATAAGGAAATTTAATCTTGCTTTACTTTCTTGCAAAGTCCCCTAAGCTGTGTCATCAATGTTCTCTGTGACAAAGAATTTGAATTCTTTATTTCTTTGGAAAGTGAAGGCAGGACTCTGCCCCTTTAGATCTTAGATTATAAACTTCTTAAGGGCATGGACTTTATTGGCTAAATTCACTTGAAATCAAGCATCATACCATTACAGAGAGAACTTGACATTCCATTCTTTTCTATAGGTGATTTTTTCCTACCATTATTCATCATATATACGGTCCTTTTTATGTCCAAGCTTCAGAATGGGTCAGTACCTTCCATACTTTTTGTAACAGCACCAGAAAGATGGCTGTTTCTCCAAATGAAATGACTGCATCTACAACTGATTGATCAACATAATATAGCCTTGCATTTTTGCAGGATTGTTTCAGAACTCTTTGATGAAAGCATGGCCATCTCACTACCGCATGCTCATTCCTTTAAAGTTGAAATAAATTGAATTTTATAATCTGGGCTCTCTGATATACCAGTACTCTTGTATTCAAAGGTGCTGATGGTGATGACCATAGAAATCAGGATTTTTAGGAGAATGACAGGTGACAAAATGTTGCCATTGAATTGTGATTAAGTTGTTTGAAAGGGCCATCTTAGTTTACAGTTCTGCTTGTAGATACAATGATCAGTGTGAAGGCTTTCCTTTAAAAGAGCAATTTACCCTTTAGAGCTGCTAACCAGAACAATTTGCCTTCTGGGACAGCTTCCTAGCTCTCCACAGCCTGGTTACTCAAAGTGTGGGCCCTGGCTGGCTATCCTCAGCATTGCCTGGGAAGTTGTTAGAAATGTAGAAATCTTGGCCTCCAAGCTCACTCCAGACCTATTACATCAGAATCTGCATCAGAACAAGATCTCACGACAGCTGTGCACATTAACATTTGAGAAGTGGGGCTCTATATTGGTTCTGATGTTGTGATTTAAAGACCCGTTTGTTTTTGCTTCTTAGGATGTGACGCCCTGTTTCAACAAGGCCTTGTTGAGCTGGGTACTGGTCCTCATTTTATGCATCTGACGAGTCCAGTGGAAACACTTCATGGAGAGCATCTCTTCAGTGCCAAGCGACTTCCTGAGTCTCAGGTCAGGTTATTGATGATTTTTATTCTGCAGCCCTTGTGTCTAATGCCACTGTTTCTCGATTTATTTGGTTAATAAACATAGAATTGTGGTATAGTATGATGCAGAAGAACTTTTATTCCTCTGAAGCCTTCATATGACTACCAGTGACAAAAGAAACCAAAGGCTTATGTGTCCACAGCCTACGCTAGTGTTTTGACACCTAGATGTCCTGATGCTGAAAATTAATGCAGATGTTGTTTTAAGCTTTGGAGCAGGGTGCTCAAGAATGCCTATTTAAACTTAATGGATACAGTATTAAAGACGTTAGACCAATATGCAGAACATTATCAATTAGACTAAGTTTATAATTAATTGAACGTTTTGGAGCTCCTCTGGACGAAGTTGAGAGAAGTAAAACTGTACCCGTGACGTCATCTTTGTCATACCCTCATGAAGTCTTTACCTGTATGGAATTTTCTTTTTCTTTTTTTTCTTTTTCTATTTCTTTTCTTTTTTTTTTTTTTTTTTTTTTTTGAGATGGAGTCTCACTCTGTCACCAGGCTGGAGTGCAGTGGTGATCTTGGCTCACTGCAACCTCCAACTTCTGGGTTCAAGCGATTCTGCTGCCTCGGCCTCCCGAATAGCTGGGATTACAGGCGCGTGCCACCACGCCCGGCTAATTTTTTATATATTTTTTAGTAGAGACAAGGTTTCACCGTGTCGTCCAGGATGGTCTCGATCTCCTGACCTCGTGATCTGCCTGCCTCGGCCTCCCAAAGTGCTGGGATTACAGGCGTGAGCCACCACGCCCGGCCTACCTCCACCACGCCCGGCTTACCTGCACGGGATTTTAAGGCTCCCTGAGATATCATAAAAGTACCACTAGTATACAAGATGGAGAATTCCTCATCCGCTATTAATATTGCTTGCAAGTTTCATTTGAACACTGGGTTTGCAAGGTCCCTACTACAGACTCTTCAATGTTCCATTTTCAGGATCATGTGTGCATGGAACAGAGTATAATCACATTGATCACACCAGGGATGAACTTCTTATCATTACCTCAGTGTCGTCACTTAGCAACAGTTAATAATTATCAAAATTAGGCATAGAAACAGTTTTAAAACCTGCTATCTTACCAGGTTTTTTCAGAACTCCGTCCCATAGGTTGATCTTCACCCTGTTTTAGTTTGGATTCTAGTTGAACGGACTATTCATTTCTCTCTTTCATAAAGTTAGATTATCTAACTTTCTGTTTTTAATTTTTGAAGAGTTAGACTTTATGCAAAGAGCTACCGATGACATAGAAATTTAAGAATTATTTCAGTGTTTAATCCATCAGTAGAGACTTAAACACTTTCACACTAATTATCGTTAACTCACAGCTCTCTGACTATAAAAAACTTTATTATTATTTGCGAGTATTGTCTTATATGCACTGTGACCTTATGATTATTCAACAATATCTATTTCTGGATAACTCTCTTCCTCACTTTTGGTGCTGCCGGTAGAGCTGTATGCTGGTAGCATTTCACAGAAGTCTAAACACAAAACTCTTAGAGCTCTCGCTTCGTCTTGGGCATGGATGGCTGATAAGAACAGATTGATCTACACAGTGTCTTTTAAAATGTATATATTTTTACCCTGGTACATTTATGACATATTAATCTGCAGCTGTGAGTAAACTCAACAGGATAATTAATTATTATGGACAGACATCAAAGCTTACTTCGTAAGTTAATACTCTGTGGAGTCTAAAGGCTTGTAGAGATCCCCATTAACTCATTAAAATTGAGGGTCTAGTGTGCATCAAGCATTGCTATGCGCAGAGGATGCAATGTAGAAAATTGGCATAAGATGCACCTTTACACCAATAAGTGGGCCAAACAGACATTAAATCATCACAAAAATAATTGTTCACTTATTTGACTGAAATAATTTGCATTGTCTAGAGATGGAAACTGAGGAGTCCGAGGGAACTTAGCTAAGAATTTGAAAGAATTCACTAGATAGATCACACCAGAACTCCTCTTTGTGTAACTAAGGGAGCATTCTTTAGGCAGTATAGGGCTTTTTCTCAGTCCCAGCCAGTCTGGAGGAGGACCCTGCAGAAGTGGAGAGAAAGTAAACATTATTCTGGGAACATGTTCAAATTATGTGACTTTCAGTGATTTATCTTTTTCCACATGACAGCCTTAAACTACGTAGCCTCTGAGAATATATATTTGCTGTATCAAACAGGTTGGAAAGTTAAACCTTGAAAATTATTTGAGAAAATACATAGGCATCTGTGCAACACATGCCAGTGAAGTATTGCATGGAGATCTGGCATGAAGGGACCATTCCTACCTAAAGTGGGCTCTGTTTATAACAACGGAGTCCATTCCTTGGGACAATTTTATGATAATTGATAAATTAATAACTAGTGCTAGAATCCACAGTAGTCAAATTCGCCGGCGAATGATAGGGATGGAGGAAAATGCGCTAATAGAGAGGTAAGAGGGAAAGTGATCTCCCCTTTGAGTATTGGTGAGGTTCTAAAAGAGTGGAGGGCTATTCCTAGGGAGGAGCTTAAAAGAAGAAGGAGTTGCAGGAGAGATGGGAACCTGAGAACAGGTTTGTGCTATGTAATGGCAGTATGCCAGGAATAGGCCCTTTGGGGGTGGGGGAAAAAAGGATTTAGCTTCCTAGCAGCTTTTCTTTTGGTGGTGAAAACATTAATGTGATGGTAAATATTAGCATACCTCTCTAGGCTTCTCCCTCAGATATCAAACAGTCCACGTAACAGCCCTGTCTGTAAGCCTGCGCACAGCGGTGTTGTGTATAGCTATAATATGTGGTGTAATGGTGAAGCCAGTGCCGCCAGAACAACAAAGCAGTAACTGAGGAGCAGTTATGCTGCCAATCCACATGGCTTGTAGTGGTGAAGGGCAGCAACATCCTATTTAGGTTGTGGGTCTTCAAAGGAATAAATGTGGAGTGGAGGCCCATATAAGGGCGCCCTCATGTGGAGAACTCAGGATAATTTTGGGTCAAATATGTCCACGTTGCCTAGAAAAACTTGGCCTGCAAATAATGCATGGTGATATATGGTGATGAATGAACGAAGAAGCTTAGAGTTTAGTTATATTCTGAAATACTTCCAAGGACAAACTGTGTAGAGATAGTTGTTCTTGCTTGCTTGGTTCTGATAATGCTCATTTTAAACACATACATACACAAACACACACACACACACACAAATACAACGGGAGAGGAGAGAGAAAGAGAGAGGAAACAGGAGAGGGAAATTGATTTCGCAAATGAGAAGCATAAGATGAGGTTGATCAGGTTGTCAGGGCTCAGATTATATAAAGCCTTGTAGATGTTACTAGGATTTCACATTATATTCTAAGTGTAATGGTTTTAGGCTGAATAAACTTTAAATTGTTCTTTTTGTGTTTTCACATTGGAGATCATCTTGCCGGCATTGCAGAGAATAGATTAGACAGGGGCAAGGATGAAACAGGGAGCCAGTTAAATAACTATGACATTAGTTCTTTGGGGAGCTGATCCTGTCTTTTTCGTTTTTATAAAGCCAAGGGTATAGATTCCAGTTAGGTTTAAAGATATTCATATTTTAAAGGCATTGAAGAAAAGTGTGATATTCATGTTTTAAAGGCATTGAGGGAAAGTGTGATATTCATGTTTTAAAGGCATTGAGGGGAAATGATTATTGGTACAGAAGTACCAGTAATGATTTATCTTGGAAACACTGTTAAAGTAACAGATGAGAAATTCATATTTGAAGTGTTGGAGTTTGGTTATGTTTTGGGGATACCTGTGGGATCAGTGGAAACACAGTCAGGTGAATTTGAAGGTGTATAGGTTTGAGGTGAAGACGTATGTACATTTAGAATAAGCAGGACTCATAGCATCATATCATGTAAGATGTTGTACCAGAATGAATCCCAAATTTCAGAATCTAGAAACAAACTAGTGAAAGGGGGACTGCAAAAAAGGAATGAAAGTTGAGTTTGCACAAGAGACTCAAAAAGATCTGCCAAAGAGGAATAAAGAACACTTATAATTTGTGGTATTGCAAGTATCAAGAGAAGAGAGTGTTTCAAGACAGAAGCTAGTGGGAAGCTGTGAGAAGTCAGATAAGTACTTAAAAATGTCAATTGAAGTCACCAACATGAGCATCATTGGTGACTTTAGCAAGAGTAGGTTAGATGCGTGCTATTGGTTAGATGTATACTGGAGTGGACAGGTGACTACTGGAGTGGATAGGTGGCTTCTGGAGTGAGTAGATATCTACCAGAGTGAGTAGATATCTACTGGAGTAAGCATATGTCTACTGGAGTAAGTAGACGTCTACTAAGTTGTTAGGTGTCTACTGGAGTGGATAGATGTCTACTGGAATGGGCATATGTCTTATGGAGTAAGTTAATGTCTACTGAAGTTGGTTAATGTCTACTGGAGAGGACAGGTGTCTACTGGAGTCAATGGGTGTCTACTGGAGTAGGCATATGTCTCTGGAGTAAGTACATGTCTACTGAAGTTGATAGATGTCTACTGAAGTTGGTACATGTCTACTCGAGTGAGTACACGTCTACTGGAGTGAGTAGATGTCTACTGGAGTAGATATGTGTCTACTGGAGTAGATAGATGTCTATTGGAGTGAGCATATATCTACTGAAGTAAGTAGATGTCTACTGCAGTTGGTAGATATCTACTGGAGTGGGTAGATGCCTACTGGAGTGGGTCAGTATCTACTGGAGTGGGGAGATGTCTACTGTTTGGTAAGTATCTACTGGAGTGGGTAGTTGTCTATTGTTGGGTTGATGGCTACTGAAGTGAGTTTAAGAGTGACGGGACTTTGAAGAAAAAAAGGCATGCTCTATATGCATGCATTTTTATATTCTAAATATTCATAATTTGGAATATTGGGTAATTTCTTCAAGACTAGTTGTGGAAGCTTGTATATGAATTCTCAATTCCTTATTTCAAAAGTTCAGCAGATGTTCTCTAAATCCTGGAGTTTTTGTTGAAACCCTAACACCATTGGTGATGTAATCAGAGAGGGGGTAAAGGTCCATTTTCTGCATCTGCCTACAAATAGAATTTGCAAACTGTTTCTATTAAAGCCTCTCAGGGGTGCGAATTTTGCTCTCTGGAGCCTTGTGTCTCATTGATCATGCTTGTTATTTTCAGCTGGGAATCCTCATATGACTTTCTCGAATATTAAAGTATTACACTGAACATTTCTTTCTTCATTTAACTCTCAATCTCAACCTGAAACAAAAATTATTGGGTGTGAACCCCCAAAATCTGAGACAGGTCTCAGTTTATTTAGAAAGTTCATTCTGCCAAGGTTGAGGACACACACCTATGACATAGCCTCAGGAGGTCCTGACGACAAGTACCCAAGGTGGTAGGGGCACAATTTAGTTTTATACATTTTAGGGAGACATAAAACATCAATCAATATGTGTAAGATGTACATTGGTTCAGTCCGGGAAGGTGGGACAACTCGAGGCAAAGGCATGAGAACTAGAAGTAGAGAGGGGACTTTCAGGTCATAGGTAGACAAGAGTCAAATAGTTGCACTCTTTTGAGTTTTTGATTAGCGATTAGCCTCTCCAAATGTGGCAATCAGATATGCATTGATCTCAGGGAGCAGAGGGGTGACTTTGAATAGAATGGGAGGCGGGTTTGCCCTAAGCGATTCTCAGCATGACTTTTCCCTTTAGCTTACTGATGTGGGGGCCCCAGGATTTATTTTCCTTTCACATTGGCATGGCTTGATAATGCCTAATATGGCAATCGTGGTCTAGATGGGAACAATCACTAAGTATAAAATAACAGATGTAAATACATGGCACATGGTTGGTGCTTAATAAATAAGACCTCTTAGTAATATTACTGTTAGAAAGATGTAAAATAAAGCCCTGATTTAATCACGTATGGAAAGGAAAAATAAAGATTTTCTTTCTATCATTTGTTCAAGTTGTACTATAAAATTTAAAAATGCCTGTTTTCTTTTTTTTATTTTTATTATACTTTAAGTTCTGGGGTACATGTGCAGAATGTACAGGTTTGTTACACCTGCCATGGTGGTTTGCTGCACCCATCAACCCATCATCTACATTAGGTATTTCTCCTAATGCTATCCCTCCCCTAGACCCCCACCCTGCTACAGGCCCCAGTGTGTGATCTTCCCCTCCGTGTCCATGTGTTCTCATTGTTCAACTCCCACTTATGAGTGAGAACATGTGGTGTTTGGTTTTCTGTTCTTGTGTTAGTTTGCTGAGAATGATGGTTTCCAGCTTCATCCATGTCCCTGCAAAGGGCATAAACTCATCCTTTTTTATGACTGCATAGTATTCCATGGTGTATATGTGCCACATTTTCTTTACCCAGCCTGTCATTGATGGGCATTTGGGTTGGTTCCAAGTCTTTACTATTGTGAATAGTGCCCCAATAAACATAGGTGTGCCTGTTTTCTTACATCCTTGCACTAGGCTGATACATTGTTATAACAGAGATTCACAGATCTACATCTCTAAGCTACTCACTGGTGACAGAGGTGGTGCAGAATAGATTCAAGGTCATCTTAGGCAATATCTGGAAATAACAAGAACTAAGCTATGAACTGCTCATAGTCACACTCCCAGGTCAGAGCTTTAAAAAAAAAAAAACACTGAGAGGTTGCTATACCATGATTACATCCTCTCATCTCTACACAGTACAGTGGTAATTGTTGGAAGTTTATTTTGTTTCTGGAAAGTTTGGAATCAAGAACTCAGTATTTATGGAATGCAGCAAAACTATTTCTTATTCTCTTCAAATATACTCGAAGCAATTGTATTACCATCACAGATATGGCACATTTACCTTCCCAGCTACTAAGCCGAGACTTTAAGCCAATTTAGAAAACAGCCACACACCAAAGTGAATCACCTAAATCAGTTCATCCTTAGACATCAGAGGCATTTTAAACTCTCAAATGGAATCTCAGATAAAATTTAAAAAGCATGGGAATCTGGGACAAATTTAAGGATCACAGCACATTTCATACTGGACACCATTTTATTTAAAAATGGAAACAATCTTATATTTATTGAATGCTTATTCCATGCATTCACTTTTTACCAAGAAATAATGTGCATCTTGTTTATTTTGCCTAAAAAATCTTATAAAACTAAACTATTTTTTATGTCTAATCACATATAAGAAAAAATAAAATGTTAGGAGCTCATGTAACTTGCCTGTGTTTACAGCAGGTGGGTAGCATAAATAGAATTTGAAATCGTGGCTGTCTCCTCCAGGGTCTGTGCTCTACCCTCTGAATTACATTGCTACTCTAATGCAGATAACTGTTCTTAAAATTTTAGTTCCCACAATGTAACTTCCAGAAATTCATACTGTAAAAATAATCATAGATGTTTTCCAGTAATTATCCTTATGCATGTGTGGCCTGATATTTGTCATAAAAACACAATATTAAAAATAATCCAAGTGTCCTAAATAGATTATTTCAATAAATAATAAAAAGCCATATTATTTTATCTTATGCAGTCAATATAAATGAGCCTTTTAAGTCTTGTAAAAAAGCTTTTACTAGGCCAGGTGCGGTGGCTCATGCCTGTAATCTCAGCACTTTGGGAGGCCAAGGCAGGTGCATTGCCTAAGGTCAGGAGTTCGAGACCAGCCTGGCCATCTTGGTGAAACCCCCCCTCTCTACTAAAAATACAAAAATTAACCAGGTGTGGTGGTGCACACCTGTAATCCCAGCTACTCAGGAGGCTGAGGCAGGAGAATCCCTTGAACCTGGGAGGTGGAGGAGGTTGCAGTGAGCCGAGATTGTGCCACTGCACTCTAGCCTGGGTGACAGAGTGAGACTCTGTCTCAAAAAAACAAAAAAAACCAAAAAACTTTTAGTATAATGTTAAGTGAAAAAAAGTAGAATACAAATACTACATCTCATTCACAAGCACGTACAAACTTTAATACATATGCACACTAAAGTAGTTTAACACATACTTCAAAATGTAGACATTGATTATTTTTAGATTGTGGCATTATGACCATTTCAGTCTTTTTTTGTTTTTTTGCTTTTTTGTATTTTCAAATTTTCTACAATGACAATGTATTGTTTTTAAAATAAAACTATCATTAAACTAAAAAAGTGTGTTTTTTTATACCTGTAGTAGAAATTTAATGAAGTAATTATTCTATAAATTTTTCTTTCAGTCAGAAAAACGGCCATTTATTAAAATGTGGCCCTCAAGCCCCCAAATCTATTAAATGTGAGCCCTTCCTTGACTTCAGCCTCTGCCATTCTCCAAGCCTTCCATATAGCACCATCTCTTTAAGTTTGAGGACCCTCACTTGACCTGTGCTTGCACTTCTAACTTCTTGATTCCAGTATTTGATTTTTTTTAGTAAGTCCTGTAGCAACTGAAGCATTTATAGTAGTGCGACTCAGTGTCCAAATCAAGTTCAATAACTTTTACTTCAGACGAGGTGAAAAGTTCTGTCAAACTCGACCACCGTGAACTTTCGTAGACCCGATGCTAGTCAAGGAAAGTGATGGATATTGATCGTCTCCTCCTTACGTGGGAGGCAATTGGTCTTTGTGAAGTGTATACAGGAAGGAAGGAGTGAAAATTTAGCTAAAGTTCCTGACAAGTATTGGATTCTTGGCAACTAATAGAATCTTTGGGGAAATACATTGTTCCCTTATTCTCACAGCATATTTGTCCAAATTTTAAATGCTGTAAGTAGCTATAAGGTGTGTTAGAGTTTGGTTCAATGTATGTTATTTTCAATATTGAACCTTATTTAATGAAATACAGAAATAACATACACATGAACCTGTGTAAAAGAGACTTTAGGATGTTGACTTTGTGGCAAAGACAAAGGTAACCTTCTTGCTTCAGAAAGGAGCGGAGCACTTTGCCTGCATTCTTCCAATCAATTGTAAATCAATAATATTGACAGCTTTTCCACTGTGGAACAAGCACTGTACTGGAAGATGGAGGAACAAAGAGTGAGTGATAGGACAAAGTTCTTTCTTCAAGGAGCCCTGAGACATTTTCTGTCTATGAGTTTGAGTCTGGGAGTTAGTTCCTCAAAATTTCAAATAATACACACAATCATCTAGAGCTTTTCCTCTCAAGGTACGAATACATACACGCAGATACACAGAAAATACCAAACACTTTGCCATTTATAGTCGTATGGATGGTGCTATTTTCTCACTTCATTTCTTCTATTTCTTTTTCTTTTTCTAGCTTCATTCCCTTAGTGCGTTAGGTCAAATCCTTATCTGTTTATTTTTCCCCAAGCTAGTCTAGCACAATAACTTTCTAATTATTCTCTTTGGTCCAGCTATGGACCCTGTAATAAATCTCTCATAATGATGTCAAATTATTCTTTCTAAAATCCAAGTCTAATCTTTATTATTTTTGCATAAAAACCTCTGATGATTTCTCCATGTCTAGAGCAAGGACAAACTACAGTATTTTTTTAAATACATATATATGTTTATATGTCAATGTAAGTGTGTATGTGTGTAAACATATTCACATATGCCACTTGAAAATAGCACTCATTTTTGACATAAATTTTTGGTCATGATTTCAAGTAATATTTTCCATGTAATTTAATAATCTTCAGATATATGATAATAAAATTTTGAACAATGCATTGTATTTTATCTATAACTGTATTGCAATATATTTAGACAAGCTATTATTACTGGACATTTATTTTATTTCAGTTCTCCCTAGTGTAAATAATGGGTGGTAACCATCATTATGTTAAGACATAGAAATTATATAGAAATCTTACTTTAAATCTCTGGTCATTTACTAGGATAAAATCACTAGAAAAAAGAACTTAATTATTTTTGTATAACTGCATTTTTCAGTACTGTATGCATTTTTTTTTAAAAACTCGCCATTTAATGATGCCTGTTTAGTTCTTTTCCCTTAAAGTTTGTTCTTCCAGAAATCAGCAGAGACCCATTCACTTTAGTCTGAAAAACATCTGCCTTTGGGCATGAGAAGGGACATAATCATTTAGATTGAGCATTTCAAGCAAAATCTTGAGGCAATGTTAAATGTTGGACTTGTCTATGTATAGTAGGTAATGTGTCAAATTCTCAAATTGCTTCTTATTTTTAGGGAAATTACATCCTGTATATCTTGAATACATTCAGTTTTTAATTGACATCTATTTTTAAATAAAACAAATTTTTCTACCTGTCTATATGCATCAGCTTGGTCTTTTCTACTGTGCAAATGAAGAAAGAAATGTTGGGTACTTGCTATTTGGTTGAAGACCCTGAGGCTAAGGGCTAAGATTTTTACTATAATATAGTGTTGGTTGAGTAAACAGAAGCGTGCATATCATTCTAAAGTATATTCTTCCTGAGAAATGAGTTGCACACCTGCCACCTCCTTGCTGATGAGAATGAAGAGTACACTCAGTGCCAAGTGAAACATATTGGATGGGCACAGGAGAGAGGACAAATTCGCTGAGCTTGAGCCATTGATACGTGAGTCCTTGGGAAGAAAAAGTTGGCAAGTGCCGGGTGTGAATGGTTAAAAATAGTTCTTCCTTTAATTAGTTGCAGGAAAGGAATGATAATATGCTTATTTTTGTGGGTTCCTAGACAACAGGAAATTTAAATATTGTACTGAATTTATTTTACTAAGATTTTTGCTTTAAAGATTAATTTTAAAATAAGGAAAATAGCGTCCACTTAAAGTTTGTGATTTATCTCAGGCACTTTGCTTTCTGTTTGTTTATATTTTTTTGCTTTTTCATAAGAGTAAACTTTTTTTTATAATTCTCAAAATCTTGTATTTTCTCCAGAAAGAACAAAAAAAAATAAAAAGAATAACAAAGGTACAAATTAAATCATTGCCCCATTTGCCCACAGAAGATAGAAATCATAAATGGGATAGCTTTTTAAATGTGTTTGTTTTCTACAATGTTTAGACTCATCGACAATGAATAGTGCTAAAATGATATACTTTTCTAGGCACATTCTTGTGCACATCTGTGAGAAATAAAAAAGCACTTGGTATTTTTCACTATACCTTGTTTCCTGCTTGAATCTAAACATTAACATACACGTAGATATAGGTCTATGTGCTGGCCCATGAGAATAAAATTATGGCCTGGTGTGTGTTTACAACTCCATCATAAAGTAAGAGTCTGCTGCTAAATGAAGGTGCCTTTAGTTATGGTCGTTACTGACTGTCAATGTGAATCAGGGGCTTACACTTAACAAAGATGTGAACTACAGACTTTACTAAATTTCCTAGTAGGCGGACAAGCTCTGTAAAGAGCTTTACAAGAATGGCAGCTCTGGAAAACATAGAAGCTGTGAATAGCCTATGTCATGATGATGGGAATGGCTATCTTGGCCAGCAGGAAGGAGCAGGGCCTCAGCAGCCACAGGCTCAAAGGCAGGATGAGGCTCTCAGTACTGCCCAGATGGCTGCAGCCCCCAGTTTTCAGTGAGATGATTCTGACATCAACTCTTCCTAGGACTCCAACATTTTCTCCATGCACCTTCACCGAGCAGAAATCACACTTCCTTCTTCACAAAGGAAGAAGAGAAGATACCAGCATTCCATCATAGGTTTTTCACCAAATCTACTAGTGTAGGTGCGTCTGTGCTTAAGCCTCTGTCTTCACTCCTGTTACAAAGAAGAGTGTCTTCATGCTCCATAAAGCAGTGTTTCTCCAACTCTTATTCCAGAAATGTTTTTAGACTCTTTTCCCTAATTTTAGCACAACAGGTATATTGAGTATCTGTCTATTAACTGTGCATCCATATCTACATCTGTGCTTTACACGTAAAACTGGCGAGACGCCTTGCTCCCCAAAAACCAATTTTTACTTTGCTGGCAGTAATATTGGCCACATTGAGAATACCTACTAAAAAGTAACAATATGCTTTATGTTAGAGTGTGTGTGTGTGTGTTTGTGTGTGTAGGGGAAAGGGTAAGTAATAGAAAACCCAGATAAAATAAATGCAAAGCTAAAAGAAGATTTATTATTGACTCATATCTCCCATATTTCAAGGGAGAGCAAATTTCATAAAAGGTGTGATCAAGGCTCTTGCTTGATTTACCTCAATTTTTTTGACTCATTACTCCCCTCTTAACCTCTCCTGACTTGTTGTTCCATGCTAAAATGGCTTCCTTCATGTCTACAAGATGGTGGTCCTCAGCAACATGGATTACCCACTTCCTCGTTACTCTTAAGAAGCATGTCTCCTTCCATAATCATCCAAATCTGACCCCTCAGTTTTGGGACGATTAGGGGACTTCTGAGTCAGTGTGTTCAGAAAACAACCATGTGTTTAGGCCTGTGTTTGCAATAAACATTACTGAGAAAATAATGGTGGGCCTTGGCCATTAAATGTTCATCTTGAATTGGGAAGTAAACTCAATTCTAACCAAATGCCATTGATACTCTACAATGGACAGGAGCAAAATTCATTTTGGAGAGATAATCAATACCCAATGGACCATTTTATGATGTCAATTGTTTCAATATTTTATTGCTAAAGTTATTCCTTCTGCCTGCTGAATCATAAATTTTTTCTTCTCTAGTGTGGCAGTCATATGGAAATGCAAATGTAATCTATTATCTCCAACTTTCAGAAAAATCTTGTTGTTCTCACTTCCCCCTCCAGCCAGTCCTATTCCTATTCCTTCTCTTTCAGATTATAAAACTTACTGAGTGTTGTTTCTGCTCACTGACATCATTTCCATAATTACATTTTCTTATCAAAGCATTCTAGTTGAGTATCTTTTAATTTCATTCACTAAAATTGTTATTGTCCATGTCTTTAATGTTATCTCTTGCAAAATGTTGACATTTAGATTTATAGTCCATTTTGAGTTCATTTTAATAGAATGCAAGATGCTTATCAGGTTTTTTCTTCTCTTATAAATATCCAATTCATTTAGCATCATTTGTTGAAAAGACAATTCTTTCCCCATTGAATTGCCTTTGCATCTGTCTTTGTCTAAAAATCAATTGACTTTCTATATGGTTCAATTTATAGACTATTTTGTTCCATTAATTCTAATATGTAAATCATTTCTTCAAATATACTATGTTTTAAATATTGTAGCTTTATAATAAATCTATTAAATAGAGTAATTCCTCCAATTTTGTTCTTCTTTTTAAAATTTGGTTATTTCAGTTCCTTTTTATTTCTTTATAAATTTTAGAATGATCTTTGTAATTTCTACAAAAATGTTTGCCATTATATTGTGTCAATTTTAGTTGAATCTATTGATCAGTTTTAGAAGAATTAACATTGTAATAATATTGTAAATAATATTGAACCTTTCAGTCAATCAACGTGAAATATCTCTCTATTTATTTAAAATTTCTTCATTTTCCTTCATCAGTGTTTTGTAGTTTTCAGTACATAGGTTGATATGGTTTGGCTGTGCCCCCACCCAAATCTCAACTTGAATAGTATCTCCTGGAATTCCCATGTGTTTTGGGAGGGACCCGGGGGAGGTCATTGAATCGTGGGGACTGATCTTCCATGTGCAATTCTTGTGATAGTGAATAAGTCTCACAAAATCTGATGAGCTTATCAGGAGTTTCTGCTTTTCCTTCTTCTTGGTTTCTCTTGCCACCGTCATGTAAGAGGTACCTTTCACCTCCCACCATTATTCTGAGGCCTCCCCAGCCATGTGGAACTGCAAGTCCAATTAAACCTCTTTTTCTTCCTAGTCTTGGGTATGTCTTTATCAGGAGTGTGAAAACAGACTAATACACAAGTCTTGTATACATTTTGGAAGATTTATGCAAAATAATTTTATGGTGTCTCTGGTCTATTTTAAAGGACATTTTAAAAAATTTAAATTGTATATTCCTAGCTTGATTTTAAAAAATTTACCTTGTGGTCCATGGTGATCCTAAAGTCACTTATTTGTTCTAGTGGTTTCTTTGTTGTTCTTTGTGAATACCTAACATGATAATCATGTCATCTGAAAATAAGAGGGCTTTATTTATTTGTTTCTAATCTGTATGCTTATTATTTCTTCTCTTTGCCTTATTGCATTGCTGAGGCCTTTCAATAATTTGTAGAAGAGGTATTATAAGTGAACAACTGTGCTTGTTTCAGTTCTTATGAATAAAGCATTCAGTCTTTCACCATTACATACAATGTTACTTATCAGATTTTTGTAGATACCTTTTATTAGGTTGAGAAAATTCCTTTACCTTCCTAGTTTGCTAAGAATTTTGATCATGAATATAAAATAAGAAGAGAAGCATGGTCAGGATGGAGCCAAGGGTGACCCCACATATACAGGTAGGGAGGGGGATGGACCACCAAAGGCATCTCAGCAGGAACATGGAAGTGAATGCTGTTGAGGAATCCAAATGAATGTGTTGAAAGAGATTAAGATGAGAAATGACTATTGAACCCTGCTGCATGGAGGTGATTTTTAACCTCAGCAAGAGCAATTTCAGTGTAGTGGTGGGAATAAAACTAAGTTTCAAGAATTAGAGGATTAAATAAAGTATGTTCAGTGGACAATTACATATGTTTACATTATTTCTTTCTGTAAAATGGGTAGAGTAAGAAGGAGATATTATGAGAAAGAAGTGAAGTTAAGGGTCAATTTCTTATGTAAATATAGTATAGCATGATTTTATGTCAAAGACATGATCTGAGAAAGAAAGTGAAATTAGAGATAAAAGAGAAGGAAGGGAAATAACTACAGATGTAAATTCATGAATAAAGCAACAGTGAAAGGAATTCAAAGCAAAGCTGGGTAGGCTTGGCCTTTGAAAGGAGCAGGCACACTCCTGGTTCAATACATGTAGCCAAGTATATTGTTATTCCTAACACAATACAGGAAGAACTCATAAAATAAATGAGGAGAACAGATAACTAATAGGAAAAAAAAATTTTGAAAGCAAAAGCATATAATTTATGATGGAAAATATAAATAGCCAACAGCATCATTTAAAAAGGCTCATTAATAATAATGCAAATGAAAATATCTAAATTGAATTTGGGTAAGATGGAGTAATCACACACTTCTTTTTATTAATTCTCACTGAACTCAGCTATAAAACTTTGACAAAATGCATGGGTAGATGGTGAGGATTCTGAATAGCATGTATATTATATACATAGTGTGATTGTGTGTGTGTCTGTGTTTGTATGTATGTGTAGGTGTATGTGTTATGTAGGACAGAGGTGACCAGAATCTGACCACCACCAAACAGTGATAAGGTGGATATTATTTTCCTTCTAGTATCCTCCTTAACAAAACATAACCCAAACCACTGTGGTGTGAGCTTAGAGAGAGCTAGGAAATGCTCTCTAGTTCTTGCTCACACAGTGGAAAAGGAAACTTTTAAAGCTCAAAGAGAATGGGGAAAATCCTCCAGGAATTTTTTTCTTTCCATTTTATCTATTTGCTCATGCCTCACCCCTGGGCTGTCTCAGGCAGAGGCAAAAGCAAAGCAACATCTTCAGAAGTGGAGCTGGAGGTGTCAAAATTCCGAGGGAAGAATCCTTCCTTTTGTTTTGTGGAGCTGTGGCTGAGACATGGCAATGCCACATCTGTAGTGTTTGTTCCTCTCTGCAGGTCCTCTCACTGCTCGGCCCCGGGTCACAGAAGGCAAATCAAGGAAGTGAACTGTTTCTGGACAAGGATTGAAAATGGGAACCCTGGGAAGGGGGCAAACACTGAAAAATGATGGAAAATGACCCTACAACGTAATTGTATAAACTCCTGTCTTTGTCCAGTCTGTGTGGACCTCATCCTAATTACATACTGAACATGTGGGAATGAAGCCAAGTGTGGACTCCTGGCCATATCCCAGACTGACCACCAGATAGCACAGAATAGCCCTGCAAAGGATCTGAAAACAGGTGGCATTTCAACCACGGTCTACAAAAATATCAACATTCTCTATAGACTATACGTCAGAGCTGGAGTCTCATATTTAATATTCCAGTGAAGGATCCAAAACCACAGCAGATAGCAGAAACAATTTCCAGTGTGCTATGTCACCATAGGATAGCTAGAGTTAACAGTAATATATCATTTCAAATAGCTAGAAGGAAGATATTGAATGTTCCTAACACAAAGACATGATAAACTTTTGAGATGATGATATGCTAATTACCCTGACTTGATCTCTATACATTATATGTATTGAGACATCACTATGTTCCCCATGAATTTGTACAATTATTGTTTGCCAATTAAAGAATAAAAACCCAAAACAATTCTAAAATTAAAAATAATTCAAAATATTCAAGATACAAATAAAATTTACTTAGCATATGAAGCACAACAAAAATCTCTACTTATTTTAAAACAGACAATCAAGTGAACCCAGGAGGCAGAGGTTACAGTGAGCTGAGATCATACCACTGGACATTAGCCTGGGTGACACAGCAAGACTGTCTTAAAAAAAAAGAAAAAAGAAAAAAAGAGACAATATCATGTGAACACCAAAAGAGATAAAATGTCAAGTTTACTGTAATAGACATGCAATTTTCTAGAGTTGGAAGCTTGAGGATTGGAATATATCACATTGTTCCTCACCACAACTGTATATAATCAGTACCACTACTTTTCTCATTTTTCATTTAAGTAAGGTGAGGTGAAGATTGTTTTATTTATTTATTTATTTATTTTTGAGACAGGATCTCACTTCAGTCACCCAGGCTAGAGTGCAGTGGCACAATTACAGTTCACTGCAGACTTCACTTCCTGGGCTCAAGTGATTCTCCTACCTTAGCCTCCTGCGTAGCTGGGACCACAGGCATGCGCCACCATGCCCAGATAGTTTTTTGTATTATTAGTAGACATGGGGTTTTGCCATTTGCCCAGCCTGGTCTTGAACTCCTAGGCTCAAGACCCAGCCTGGTCTTGAACTCCTAGGCTCAAGCGATCCACCTACCTCAGCCTCCCAAAATGCTAGGATTATAGACGTGAGCTACTGCGACCAGCTGACTTTTAAATAACATACCTAACAAGTATATTCTGCAGGTTAACTCTGACCATCTGATATCATCCTTTCCAATCATTATACAATGCTGCCTCTCAAAGAAGTGAAAAGCAAAGACAAAAAATGTTGGAAAAAAAAAGAAATAGAGACAAAATAATTTGTAGGAGCTTTTCCATTCATGTAAATACATTTATTTAAATCTTTAGCATTCCAAAATATTTATTTTAAGTACAGATTTATAGTAAAGATAGACATGGAGAGGAGACAGAATGATTTGGTCACTGTCTTTGTTATAATCTAGTAGAGAATTTAGTTGTTAAAGGCAATAGAAATCCATAAACCTTTTAAGATCTATGGCCTTTGTTATAGATTGTGTTGTGTCTTCCCCAAATTTATATATTGACATCTCAACCCTTAATATCTCAGGATGTAACCTTATTTTGAGACAGGGTCTTTAAAAAAGTATTTATGGTAAAATGATGTCATTAGGATGGGCCCTATTCCGACATGACTGGTGTCCGTATCAAAAAGGGAAATTTGGTAAAGATGCATAGACAGGAGGAATGCTGTGCAAAAGAATTATGTTGACACAAGTCAAGAAAATGCTAAGAGCGAGAAGGAAGGCCTCAACAGTTCCTTCCCTCGCAGTCCCCAGAAGGAACCAACCCCATTAGCAACTTGATCGTAGCCTTTTAGCCCCCAGAACTGTAAGGCGGTGCAGTTCTGTTGGTTAAGCCAACCATTCTGTGGTGCTTTGTTATGAAAGCCCTGGCAAAATAAAGGCAACCCTGGTATACACGGGTAATTGGTTCCGGGATCCTCTCGCAGATACCAAAATCCTCAGATGCTCAAGCCCCTGATATCAAACAGCATAGCATTTGCATATAACCTCCACACATCCAGTATACCCTAAGTCATCTCTAGATTACTTACAATACTTCATTCCATGCCTACACATCACTTCATTTGCATGCATTCAACATGTTACTCGGCACACAAAATTCAAATTTTATTTTTTAGAACTGTGTGGAATTTTTTCCTGAATATTTTCAATCTGTTTTATTTGAATTCATAGATGTGGATTCCACAAATGGGGAGGGCTGACTGAAATACAACTTTAGTGATAAGAGCTCAGGAAAGAACCAGTGACTTTGGCCCTGAAGAGAGTAATGTGTTAGAAGTTCTGAGTAGTGAGGCATACCATCTACTTCCTGAGAACTTAGGGACAAACAAAAGGATTAGAAATTCATTTGCATGAGAAAAGTTTTGTGGAGGTGACCCTGCACTCTTATGTCCTTAGTATAGATTAGATTCCTTACAGAGCTACTTTTATATTGCTTCTATTCCAGCAGGCCCTTGGTGCATTCCTAGCTGAGAGTCCCCCCACCAGCCTCTCCACTACACACACCAGAAATGGAATGAGTTTGGCATATTCTCCCTGAATGGCATGTGGTGAGAAATCACAATCTCTGATGTGCTTTTGGTATCCCGAGTTGCAAGTTGGAAGGCTTCTTCCAAGTTTTACAGATAGGTAAGCATACCATAACTGCACTCAGTGGTAAATGTTATTGTCAAGATCATCACTAGATGGGATGGGAAAATAGAGAATGGATGAGTAACCTATACCAATAACTTTCCCAGGAAGTGAGTGGGAGTTGAGTATGGAAATGAAAGTGTAGATTAGCCTTTTTTTTTTTTTTTTTTTTTAATGAGACTGCCTCAGGAAAGATACAGTAGATATTTTTCCCCTGTTTCTCTGCTAAGTCTAAATAAATACCATGGGTCTTACATAATAAAACAAACAAAAGGGAACTCTGAAAGGTGGAGAACAGGCAAATAGGCCAGGGACTTAGGATTCAAGAAAGGATATGGTCATGGTGGCGAGTTCTGTGAGTTTCCAGATGTAGAATTAGCAACCCAGTAACAGCAGGTACAGAAGAAAAAAAGGTTCCCAAGAAAAGCCAGCTCTTTCCAGCAAAAAGACCAGAAAAGGGACAGCCCACAGGGACCTGTGAACATGCCCTTTTGTCTTAACTAAAGCAATATCAATATCCTGGTTGTGATACTGTCCTATAGGATTGCAAAATGTCGTCATTGGTGAAAACTAGGTAAACTATACGAAGGGGTCTCTTTGTATTATTTCTTAAATCTGCACGTGACTATAAAGTTGTCTCCAATTAAATATAACATTTTAAGAGAAAAGAGAGAGAACTCAGAAGAAGAGGATAGTAAAAAAATCATATGCGAATGCATAGGGGCTTTAATTTAACAATTTGTACTCATAGTCTGACTTGCATTTTATGCATTTGTGAATATTTTATCAGCCTAACTTGCATGAGATGTGAGCATGGACTATGGAACCAAACTGTCTGAATTCAAATTCTGGCTGTAGCACTTACTAGGCACGTGGCCTCGGGCAAGTTACTTACTCCCTGTGGGGTTCTGTTTCTTCATCCACAGATGGCGATTAAAAATTGTGCTCAAGTCAGTGCTTTCTTCTTTGTTGAAAATTGAATCAGTTCATATACGTAAACATTTTACATCAGTGTTCTCCACAGTGTATGTAAGTGGATGCTCAACTACTTTTAATTTTTCTTTAAGTCAACTTTGAAGGCAGAGACTTGTCTCTCTCAAGGTTTATTTTCTAGTGCCATGTCAAATATATTTTGGGAGCAAAAACCATTTGTTTAATTCAAATTAAAATATATTCTGAGTTTCACATAGTTAAGTTACTGAAAAATGAGATATTTTTAATTCATTTACTATTGGTAATTCCAAGAGTCTCTTACTGCTAGTATAATAAAACCAATATGGAAAGAGTCATTTGTCTATTTTTGAATTATTTTGTCATCTTGTAAGCTGCAAAGAAATATGTAACACATTTTATTTATTTAATTTTATATAAAGCCAAGGTGTAATTCTACTTAGTACACTTTACATTATTGTTATTCTTCCTGAAGTCAGTGATACTAAATACATGTGCACCTACTGAGGGTAGATTTGGTAAGTATTGAAAAAAAAACCCACAAAAAAACAAAGAACAATTTTGTAGTTAAGATAATAAGGTGTCAGACCGCAGCCATCAATTGTATCTAAAACAGTACGTGTATTTTTTTTCTGCAGTTTTGTGACTAGATAGGTGTTGTGACTAGATAGATGTTTTACACCAGATATATTTGGTTTGCAAGGCAAAGGTAAAATTTCCTCACAAATTATTTATTTGGTTTTCTCAATTTGCATTTGCTTCTAAAAATGCGTGATTCATTTTGGTGATGACACTGAAAGATTTCTCATATGAAATTCAGTCTACCAACTTCAATTTAAGGATGTACAATGGATGACCTCACCTAACCATTTTATTCTATTCATAACAAGGAAATAATTTGAGCAACTATTCAAAGACATTTTCTCATATAAGTTAAATTTAAGTCAATGCAGCAAACATGCTCTTAACATCCACTATATACATAAAAGAGTACTAGACGCCACACATAATTATAAAGGGAAGACATGCATGCTCAGTATCACAGAGGAATCCACACCTAAAATTATTCGGGTTATTATACACATCTTGTTAAGTGTTAATATGTGAGGGAGCTACCCTGAGACAACGTAAGAAGGGTATTTAACTTGAACCTGGGCCTGGGTTAGGGAAAGCATGCCTGAGGAGTCGGTGACAAAGTGAGACCTGTGAGATACGTAAAGTTGCACAAGGAAAAACTTTGGGCACAAATGGGGAGAAGAGGATACCAGGCAGAAGAAACAACATCTATTAAGTCTCAGATGTGAAAAAGAGAATGAAACTACCAGCTGTAGGATCTAACAGTGACTTAGTGCAGCTGGAGGGAAAAGTATGAGAATGAGTGGTAAGAGATGGGTTTTGAGATGTCAGCAGATATAAGATTTTGTAAGCTATGCATATTATTAAGAGTTCTCCAGAGAAACAGAACCAATAGGAAATATATGAAAAGATTTATTATGAGGAATTGATTCATGCAGTTGCAGAGGCTGAGATGTCCCATGATCTGTCATCTGCAAGCTGGAGACTCAAGAGGGCCAACGGTGTAAGTCCCAGTCTAAGGGCAGGAAAAAACTAAAGTTTCAGTTTAGTAGTCAGGCGGAATGGGCAAAGTCTCCTTTCCTCCACGTTTTGTTCTTTTTAAGCACTCAGTAGATTGGATCATGTCCACTCACATTGGAGAGAGCAACCTGCTTTACTGGGTCACTGATTCAAATGCTAATCTTATCTGGAAACTTCCTCACAGACACAATCAGAAATCATATTTAGTCAAACATCTGGATACCCTATCATCCAATCAACTTGATGCATGAAATTAACCATCACAAGTCCATCCTTTGTCAGTTTGGCACTTATACTCATCTCCTTAAATCATACTTAGCCTCCAAATAAAGACAATAACAAGGTCATAATTCTGCCTAACATAATACACCTATCCTATGAACAACCCAAAGTGCAATAACCCCTTTTCCAGAAAGGAGGTAAACATAATGTATTAAAACAAAATAAAGAGTAAATAATTAAGAAAAGTATAGTGCTAGTTTCTGTAACTGGCCACATGATTGTAGCTGTTATTTATAACAATCTTTTCTTAGCTACCCACTCTGTACTTTTTGCCTTCAGCAAGCATCTCAGCTGGTTGTAATTCTATGACCCAAACCTTTACTTCTGAAGAGTCTGGACCATTCCTAGTCTTGCCTGGATTGGGATGTTTTGGTTCTCCATTGCCCTTAGTCAGAGGGCAGGGTAATACTAAGAGACACTCTGAGGGATCTCCTGTATTTCAGACATGCTTCTTCTTACCTTTGCAGAGTAGCAGTCTAAATTCCCATTGGTAGTCAGAATCGATCACCACAGCCAGCAACTAACTCCCATCTTTGCCTGTTGACTCAGAGGCGTGAGGAGCCTAAAGTGGCCAGGTAGTGCTTTTAGCTTCCAGCTCAATGGAATCATCGTTGTGTCTCCTGGTGGAAGCGTTCCTCCTTCTGGAATTAAGACCTCTAGGCCATCAGAGCACAAGCTTGCAGAAACAGAAAGCAAACATTTTTCTAGTGGCTCTGAGGGATAATAGTGAGTGGTGCTACTCTCATTTTCGCCCCTTCGTTCCTGGGCTTATGAATCTTGGCTATGAGAAAAATTGCATGAAATATTGGATGCTGAATAAGAGCATGTGCAGCCTTCTGGAGAAACGTGTCCCAGCTGTGCAAGGTTTTGTCACTCAGTGGGCACTGTAACTGTCACTTCAAAAATTAATTCCAGGCTTCTCTAAGGCCAGCTGTTTCAGGATAGTGGGGAACACAGTAAGACCACTGAATTCCATGAACAAGGACCTATTACTGCACTTCTGTTGTGAAGGGAGTTCCTTGATCAGAGGCAATGCTGTGTGGAACACCATGAAAGTGGGTACAAACACCTGTAAGTCCACAGATGGTAGTTTATGAAGAAGAATTGTATTCAGGGAAGGCAAATTTATATTCACACTTAAATGTCTTTTCCAATAAGAATATAAATAATGTCCCTTTTATGATGGAAATGAACAAATGTAATCAATGTGTTAGCAGGTAGCTGGCTGATCACCCTGGGAATGGGGCCATTTCAGGGACTCAGTGGTCTCTGCTGCTGGCAGATTGGGTATTCAGTGGTGGCCACAGCTGGGTTGGCCTTGATGAGTGGAAGTCCGTGTTGCAGAGTCCACTTGTAACCTCCATCCCTGACACCATGGCCACTTTGTTCACGAGCCCAATGGGCAATGAAAGGGTTGGCTGGGGAAAGAGGCTGAGTTGTATCCACAGAACAGGTCATCCATTTGATTATTAAAGTCTTCCTCTGCTGACATCACCATTTGGTGAGCATTCATGCGGTGCACAAATATCTTTGTGGTTTTTTCTCATTCAGAGAGGTCTATATTCACGTATTTCCCTAAATTTCTTTGTAACCAATTTTAGAATCATATTCCTTCCAAGTCTCTGACCATCCAGCCAAACCATTGGCACAGCCCGTGATCACTATACAATCACACATCTGACTATTTCTACTTTCAAGCAAAGTGAACAACTAGCTGCACTGCTCTAAGTTCTGCTTACTGGGAGGATTTCTCTTTACATCTGTTCTTCAGGGATGTCACAGAAAGAGGCTCTAGTGTTGCAGCTGTCCGCTTTTGTGTGGTGCCTGCATGTCATGTGAAATGAACTAAATGTTTATGCTTCCCCACAATTCATGTGTTAAAATCCTAACCCTTAATATGATGGCATTAGGAGATGGAGCCTTTCGGAGGTAGTTAAGTCATGAGGGTGGAGTCCTCCTGAGTGGGATTAGTGCGTTTATAAAAAGAGACCCAAGGGAGCCCTCTAGATCTCCTTCCACCTTTTGAGGATCAAAGGAGAAGTTAGCTCTCTGCAACAAAGAGGAAGGCTCTTTCCAGAACCTGACCATGCTGGCATTTTAATCTTGGGATTCCAACTTCCAGAACAGTGAGAAATAAATTTCTGTTGTTTAGAGGTCCCTAGTCTATAGTATATTTGTTACAGTATCCCAAACTGACTAAGACATATGAAAACAGATGCAGAACCATCTGTAAACCGGGCCCAGGCCAGGCTTCTCATCCAGTGACCTGACTGTAAGGTACCTTCCATGAGGCTATAGGTACAGGCTGGCTGAGCGATGGTGGCATATCAGGAGTGGAGACCATGGGCATTTTGGCAACTTCTTCATGTAACTTACTTGTTCCTTCAGGGCCTGCTTGCGCCTAGTCAAGTATGAACTGCTTCCATTTGGTGATGGAATGCTACTGTGCATGCCCAACTTCATGACCTGGTGGGTTAGATAACATCCAGTTCATAATGGGCAGTTCAGGTCATATGATATTTTGGTAACCCATGGTTAAGCATTCAGTGTCTACAAAGGCCCAGAAGCAGGCCAAGATCGATTTCGTAAAAGGGGAGTAGTCATCTGCAGACAATGACGGCAAGGCCTTGCACCAAAATTCTAAGGACCCACTGTAAGATTTACCTCAAGAGGCCTGACAAAGACTCCAGACAGCAGTCCTCTTTGTCAATGACACTTTAAGCACTATTGGATTGCCTTAAGTGGCAGAGAGATTTGCACATCAGCCTGGACCTGCTGCAGACTTTTCTCCTGCTCTCAGCCCCACTCAAAGCTAGGAGCTTTTCAAGTCACTTGGTAAATGGGCCAGAGTAACACACCTAGATGAGAAATATGTTACTTCCAAACTCCAAAGAGGCCCAGTAGGCATTGCACCTCTTTTTTGGTTGTAGAAGGGGATAGATGCAGCAAATTGTTCTTCAATTCAGAAGAGTTATCTTGACATGACCCACACCACAGGACCCCTAGACATGTCACTGATGTAAAAGGCCCTTGATTTTTGGTCAGATTTATTTCCCACTTTCTGGCACACACGTCTTACCAGTAAGTCTAGAGTAGTTGCTACTTCTTTCTCACTAGGTCCAATAAGCATGTCATCAATGTAACAGACCAGTGTGATATATTGTGGAAGGGAAAAGCAATCATGACATAAGACTCGAGATTTGATATATCCAAGAGGTATGGCAGTGAAGGTGTAGTTTTGCCCTTACCATTAGAACAAAAAGTGGTTCTGGTATGTCTTATTGACAAGGATGGAGAAAAGGAAATTTGCCAGATCAATAGCTGTATATCAGGTACCCATAGATATGTTAATTTGCTCAACTAATGAAGCCACTTCTGGTACAGTAACTGCAATTGAAGCCACCACCTATTTAAGCTTACAATAATCCACTGTCGTCCTCCAAGATTAATCTGTCTTTTGCACATGCTAAATAGGTGAGTTGAATGGGGATGTAGTGGGAATTGCCAGCCCTGCAACCTTTAACCCTTTGATGGTGGCACTAATCTCTGCAGCCCCTCCAGGGATGCAGCATGCTTTCGATTTATCATTTTCCCAAGTAGATGCAGTTCTAGTGGCTTCCACTTGGCCTTTCCTACCATAATAATCTTCATCACACAGGTCAGGGAACACAGGTCAGGAACGTAGGGATTCTGTAAGCTCCTGAGTATTTCTATTCCAATTATGCATTCTGGGCCTTTGCAAATAACCACAGAATGGGTTCAAGGACCCACTGGAACCACTGTGAGATGGCCCTGAAGTAAAACTCCATTGATCACCTGAGGTTCATAAGCCTCTACTCTGACTGGGTAGGCTGCAATGACATTTTGTCTCTTAAAATTGGTGTCAGTTTAGAGACAGTTTCTGGCAGTCCCCAAAAGGCCTTATTATTTCTTTTTACCCAGTGCCAAGTTACTCTAGTAAAAGCAGGTACATCCTTTTGGGGAAGGTTGAGAGAAAAATTAACTGTATAAATTTTCAGTAGTGTGCCAAGGTCATTCCTCAAGGGAAACCAGCCTCACCTTTGCTCAAGGTGTTTTGGGTTTGTAAAACTGGCACAAGTCTGACAACTTATTAAGGGATCATGACCGTCTGCTTGTAATTTAGGTTATAGTCGTGTTCACTTGACTTAAACTTTTCTGCATATTCTGATCAAATAAGAATTTGGTAAGCTTTCTATTTTACTTCTAGTAGCACCATAATCAACCAGCAAACATCATAGGTCTTTGAGTCAGTATTCTGATGTCTGCTTTCGCTTTGCTGTTCTTTACCATACACACCCACCTTGCCATTGGACAGTGCCTCCACTTGGCCACTGTCCCTCCAGAATACAATTACTTCCAATGTGTTTAGGTTTCCCCATTCAGTGGCTGCACTTCCTACTGTGAGGTCTGTCCGATAGAGAAAAGCAACCACAGATCTCTTTGAGAATGTTGGGGCTTCCCTCACACATTTATTTCTCACACTCGTGGTGAAAGGTATGTCTTCTGGACCTTCCCAGAGTGCATGTGTCCAGTCTCCCTAAGCCTTTGAAGTCCTTCTTCATTAAACCAAAGCAGGGCTGACATTTTTAACTTGCTTACTGTGGGCTGCTTTTTGGCCCATATTTTAGCTAATCAACCAAACCAACTATGAAAGCCCTTTCTAACTCCCTGAGCTGCAACCTTAAATCCAGAATATTCTTATTGGGCCCATATCAACACATTTGTCTTGATCCAATTTTATGTTCCTTCCACCATTATCCCACACCTTTAGTATCCTTTCCCACACATGTTCCTTGGATTTCTGACTGTAGTAATGAGAAAAACCAAGTAATTCTTTTGAAGTGTAGTTTACCTCTTTAAGGGCCACACTTTGTACTCGATTTTAGGGGCCTGCTGGAACTTGGGTCATGTTATAAGTCTAAAAACTAATAGGGGTGGTGAGAGTGGGTTTTGGGGAGAATCAGCATTGTCTTGCATGGCAACTGCCTCCTGGGAGGCCAGCCACTACAGTTTCCTTAGGCAATGCACTGTTAGTGAGTCATCTCAGGTGGGGCTGGGGAGGTTGCTTCTACTGGGGATAGGGAAGCTAATTCTGCTGGGGGTGGGAGTCTTCTTCTACTGGCAAAGAAAGCTCAGCATTATCTGGGCTCAATTACTGTAGCTTCATCAATTTCTTCCCACCCATTCTTACACCAACTTACAAAATCCTATTCTTCCCCAATCAATGCCCTCCCTTTAACAGTAGAACTTTGTGAGGGTGGGAGCTCAACTTGCATTGCAGTTCAGCCAGTTGAAGGATAAGATTCTGAGTTTAATTTTCAGCAATCTCAGTCTTGCTGCTGTAGGAGACAAGGGTCTCCTTCAGGGCACACATAGAAGCTTTCAACTCTTTCAGTGGTGTGATGGTTAATTTTATGTGTCAGCTTGACTAGATTATAGAGTGCCCAGATATTTGGCTAAACATTATCTCTGGGACTGTCTGTGGGGGTGTTTCTAGATGAGATGAGTAGATGAGATGAGCATTTGAATCAGTGGACTCCGTAAAGCAGATAGTCCTCTCCAGTGTGAGTGGACACCATCCAATTGGGTTAACTCACTGAAATGTATTTTGAAAAGAGCTAGAATTAACTGAAACAGTACAAAAATTGTTACCTTTGAAGTGGGGTGCTGCCAAAACAGAAATCGTCCTAGTATTCACAAAAAAAGACAGTAAGAAACTGATCTAGATTGGAAAGGAGGCATCTCTTAAATGCAGTGGCAAAATATTAGATAAAATGCCACATGTCAAACCTGAAAAGCAATCCATATGTCTACTGAGATGTATTCTAGGATAAGAGATTGGAAAAAGTCAAAATGTGGTATAACATCTTTTACTCTCTGCTTTTAGCATGGAACCAAAAGACATAGGTGAGATTAGATTAAAAACATTGTGACTTGCACATGTTTGAAAATTCAGCTGCCTCCTGATCACAGCAGGAATAGAAAAGAAAGAAAGTAAAAAAGGTTGAGATGAAAAATGTTCATTAAGATTTATAAGTTATTCAAAGAGACTTGGCTCTGAGTGTCTTTTGCTCCAAGCCTAATTTTCAGATGGTCTCAAGCTAATTAACATTAAATTGAGAGAGACTGATATAGGGACAAAAAGAAATCAGGCTTGAAAGTTATGTCTAGGGGGAAAAATGGTTGTGGTTGTTGCCACATGTAGCTGACTGAAGGCAGGTAGATCAGAAACTCACAAAATTTAAAGTTCAATTATAGTGTTAAGAAAGGAAAAACAATGCTTAGCTCTCAGACTGCATCAACAGAAGGCCTGTGGGGGCTGTGAAAACCCCAAGAGGGAAGGACATAATCATTGGTGCCCCATTGGATATGCCATGGAGAGTAAGGAGCAGAAATAGTTTCCCAGGAGTGAGCTGGGTCCACAGAGAAAAATGGGCAAGGAACAGAGAAGGAGCATGACTAGACAGTTGGTTTCAAGCTTCCCAGCCTTCTTGGCTTGCCTGGGATATTCCCAGTTTTAGCACTGGTAGTCCTGTGGTCCTCGGAATCCCTCCACTCCTTGGCAATCCCACATGGTTAGTCAACCTAGGATTGTTCCAGGAGTTATTTTTCCAGGTGAATCCTATGATAGAATAATGTGAATAAGTAGCATGAGATATAAGCAAAATAGTGGCTGTAGTGATGGGTGACGATTCCAAGCTAGCTGACACAGGGACTGAGATCAGAATAAAGCCCAGTCGTACCCACACTGAAGATAAGATATAACTATGATGACAGAAGAGACAGTTACCTAAGCTTGGATGTCTTACCACATATAATGCATGCAAATTAAGTTACTTTAACTGATGACAGAATTTCTCTTAGAAAGACAACAGAATTCAATTATGAAAATACATTGGTAAGCCATTTTGTGTGTGAAATTGTTGTGTTAGTGTACATGTTTATGGTGTGTTGGCTCTACTGTATTATACATAATGTTTTCAAAGTGTTTTGGATGTCCTATGGTAGTTTGACTCATGAAGGGAACACATTTCATTTTTATGCAACTTATGAGGTGATTTGAAATTTATACTACAAGCAAAGGGTATTCCAAATTATTATGCAATGAAGCAAATATAATGTTCACTAATTTAGTAATAAATGTTTAAAAGAAAAGAACACACACTTGTGTGCACTCACAGCCCCCCACCACACACTCTTCTTTATTGATGTATTGAGGAAAGATGCCAGATTCCTGTAAGTGATTTATTTGTTTGACTTCAGGATCCAGTTTATACTGAGAGCCTAATGCAATGAATGTCTGAAAGGGAGAATATATTCCTGGTCTTTTCCTGACCTCTCCCACAGATATAAGTGAATGAAAAAGGTTGAAGCCGAAAGTGAGGCAAGCCAGTGCTTCCCTGTCTTTCTGTTATGCGGGGCAAGCCAGTGCTTCCCTGTCTTTCTGTTATGCTTATTCAGCTCTGACTGGCTCTGTGTACATCTTGGTTAATATCCTGACTTCATTCTCACTACTACTTCCTATTGATACCAATCTAGAAGACACCAAGCAGGCTTCACTTATGAGTGGCATTCTTTTACTAACAATTTAGGTGGGTCAGGAAGAGTTAGTGCTTAAAAGGTTACCTTCAGAAGACAGATCAGAAGGCAGAATTGGTTTTGGTTGTATTTTAATGTATTTGTTTATTAAATAGTGAAGTTGATAGGTTCAGGAGAAGGTATGATAATATGGAGGGTAAATGTTAACTCAATTTAAAATATATAAAGGGTTGAATTAAAAATAATGTGGAAATAAGTTGTCTTATTGGTGGGGCTAAGAGTTAAGCTTGGAACTAGATTCCATTGTTTATGCTCTTTTACTTCACATTTGAGCAAGCTGGAAACAATCAATTGACAGGAAATGTTCCAGGCTATTTGCAAATGAACATTCACCCAGTCTCACCAGCATGGTTATCTGTGATATGCAATAGTAGAAGTTTTGTACAAACCGCACTGCAATCAACAAATTTGAATTAGGCAGTTGTCCTGATCATCTGAGTCTCAGCCAAAAAAATAAATAAATAAAGCTAGTTAAACGAGACTTATTTTCATGGGTTACTCTATAATAAAATGAATAAAATTGGTTTTCAGCACTAAATTAAGAACAAGCTGACCATCTACAGCAGCCCTCATAGCCTGGAAAGATAAAGAGCTGTAGGATGGCAAATGGTTGCTATACATTATGGATACACCCCTGTAATGACTGTGAAGTACCATAAACAACACTCAGGGTGCCATTTAACTGGTTTCCTTTATCTTCGATTCCTTGTTTAAAGGCACTGAAGTTCATCAGGGTGAATCTGTGGCTGGCAGTTACCAGGATAAAACAGTAGTATTATGTTTCAGGGTCCTGATGAAATGAACGAGTGGGCTTTAGCCTCCGCAGAATCTGGAGGAATATAGCATAAGCCTCATTAAGCATAACAGGTGAACAATCATGTTATTGTGGGCCTCATTACCCTTCATCATTTGCCTATATTTTCAGAGGGGGCATAGATTATTAGAAAAATGTCAAGGGAACAGGACTTACTGGGAAGGAGAATCAATTCGATTTTATCATTCACATCATTTGGCTTTGATTGAACAAATCTGAGTACCTAGAGGTATTAGAAAGCCATAGAGAAATCTTATTAGAATATACAATAGATAAATATGAGTCATATATTAAAAACTTTCTCCTGAATCCTGCACAGAGTTTTTGGGAAGATGTCTCCCATCAAACTGAGGAAAAGCATATTGTTATTTTGTTGTTGCTGTTAAAAAGGCCTCACTGGAAGCTAGGCAGCAAAATCTATTTGATCTCACTATATCTAAAAACTCCAGCTCTCGAATCTGACCTCATTTCTTTACATAGCAAACACTTCCCTTACTGGTTTGTAAAGAATGCCAGGATCTTTTGACTCAGAATTCAAAGACATTAATTGGCTGTCTCACAGTACACATTACAAGGTGTTGAGAAATCTCTGAGGATAAATGTTATCCTGAAGAGGCTATCAGTCCAACAGCTTTTGTGCCATTTGTGTCTAAAGCAACATAATGAATTTCCAACTGGTTTCCTGTTCTATGAGCTTTACCAGTCGGTTGATCCTTGTTTTCCATTGTTTACTTCACCTACTGAGATGACAATATCACCAAGGGTAGCTCATAAAATGTATAAGTTAGGTCTAGGATGTAAAAAACTAGAAAAAGCATTTCTCTCACTCCAGCAACAAGAAAAAGCTAGGTACAGTATAAAACAATAATACTATTTTACCTGTAAGAAAGCTGAGATCACAAGTCAATCAATTAGACTAAAATCCAGAGAGAGAAGGCTGCCTCCCATTCCCTGCTGAGTAAAGACTTGACATACAGCCAGTCTGACTGGTGTCAGTGTCCTAGAGGAAGGGGTGGCTGTCATGAAGGAAGGTAAAAGGAAGTCAGCTCAAGTTTTCGTGTGTTGCTGAAGGTTGAGTGTGAGCTACCATGATCATGTAGACCCCTTGAGAGCCCCAAATTCAGGGAGAGACTACCTTCACTCACAGGCTCTTTTCCTTTTTCATGTAGCTCCACCATGGGCTCATGAGGGGGGGATTTAGGGGAAGGGTGGGAGATCAATGGGGAATTCCTTGTGCAGGACTGCAGGGAGGAATCAATTGTCTCTATGGAAGGCACAAAACCTTGGCCCCACTGCCTGGACACTTCTCTCATAAGGAGCAAAAGTCTTAAGTACTAGGGGAATAGGGCAAAAAGCCCAGTCAAAGCTATGTCATTGTTGTTGGACAAAGGAGAGAAGAAACAACCTCTCAACCTATGGGAAGTACCAAGAAAAATCTCAGAGCTCATGATCCTATACCAGTAAAATTAGAAGCTTTCCACCGCTGGAGAGAGGAAGAAAATTCTGGCTTGCATAAGATGCACACCAATACAAGGCAGAGCTTGGGTGATGTGAAGAGGAAGGACGAGAATGCTGAGAAAGAACTCGTGAAATGATAAATACAAAAGTAAATGTAAGATAATTTTTCTTATTTTAAATGGCTAATAGATAATTGATTCTGTAAAGCAAAAATATTAATAACAAGTTTTAAAGTTAATAAAGTATATAAAAGTAAAATGTATGACAAAAACAGCATAAAGGATAAAATAGGGATAGACAATTATAAGTTTCTTAAACTACATATAAAATGGTATGTGTTTATGAATGTAAACCATGATAAAATAAAGATGTGTATTGAAAACTCTAAGGCTATACAGAAACATAAGGAAAGAGGCATAACTAATAAGCCCTTAGTGGGGATGAAATGGACAATATAAGCACTGTTCAACTGACCTAAAAGCAATAAGATAAAGGGAAAAATAAAACAAAAGAATGGAACAGGAAAAACACAACCTGCAGAATGGTAGATTTAGATCTAACTACATCAATAATTACTGTAAGTGTAGTATAATCTTATCAAAAAATGCAGAAGCAATTGAAAATTCTTATAAAAAACTGCCACTTTACATGATCCACAAAAATTAACTGAAAATGAATTATTGACCTAAACATAAAACCTAAAGCATAAAAAAATGAGAAGGAAAAAACCAAAAACAAATAAAATAAGAACAAATTTTTACTTTACAATCCTGATTCAGGTAAATAATTTTTTAGATAGGACACAGAATACTCAAATCAAAAAAAAGGGAGGCAAATTGTATATCATCAAAATTCAAAACTTCTACACCTTGAAAAACCTTGTTAAAAAATTTCAAATATAATCCATAGACCAGGAAAAAATATATGCATAAAACATATCTTATAAAGGACTAGTCTCCATAATATAAAAAGAACATTTACAACTCAATAACTAAACGAAATTTAAAACCTGGCAAATAATACACTTAGTTAAAGAAAGAACAAGGATGGTGAATAAGCACAGGAAACGATCCTCAACAGTATTCTTCATCACGGAAATGCAAATTAAAACTACAATGAGTTGGCCAGAACTTCCAACACTATGTTGAATAGGAGTGGTGAGAGAGGGCACCCTGTCTTGTGCCAGCTTTCAGAGGGAATGCTTCCAGTTTTTGCCCATTCAGTATGATATTGTTTGTGGGTTTTTCATAAATAGCTCTTATTATTTTGAGTTACATCCCATCAATATCTAATTTATTGAGAGATTTTAGCATGAAGGGCTGTTGAATTTTGTCAAAGGCTTTTTCTGCATCTATTGAGATAATCATGTGGTTTTTGTCTTTGGTTCTGTTTATATGCTATTCACAATAGCAAAGACTTGGAACAAACCCAAATATCCATCAGTGATAGACTGGATTAAGAAAATGTGGGACATACACACCATGGAATACTATGCAGCCATAAAAAAGGATGAGTTCATGTCCTTTGTAGGGACATGGACGAAGCTGGAAACCATCATTCTCAGCAAACTATCACAAGGAGACAAAAAACCAAACACTACATGTTCTCACTCATAGGTGGGAATGGAACAATGAGAACACTTGGACACAGGAAGGGGAACATCACACACTGGGGCCTGTTGTGGGATGGGGGGAGGGGGGAGGGATAGCATTAGGAGATATACCTAATGTAAATGATGAGTTAATGGGTGCAGCACACCAACATGGCACATGTATACATATGTAACAAACCTGCACATTGTGCACATGTACCCTAGAACTTAAAGTATAATTAAAAAAATAAAATTAAGAAAAAAATAAATAAAACTACAGTGAGTTACTTCTAAATATTTCAATGGCTAAAATAAAAATTTAAAAATCTTTCAATACCAAATACTAGCAATGATGTGTAGCAACTCGAAACCTCATACATTGCTTGTGGGAATGAAAATGGTATATCTACTTTTAAAAAATACTTCTTAAAAATTGTGGAAAATACCCATCATGTAAAATGTACCATATTAACCATTTTTAAAAGTATAGTTCAGTGGTATCAAGTACATTCATATTGTTCAACCATCACCACCATTCTTCTCCCAAACTCTTTTTTTCTTACTAGACTAAAACTGTTCTCATTAAACAACTACTCACAATTCCTCTCTCCCCAGAGTCCCTGGCAACTACCATTCTATTATCTGTCTCTATGAATATGACCTCTTTAAGTACCTTATATATGTGGAATCATGTGTCTTTTTGTGACTGGCTTATTTCATTTTGCATATGTTTTTAAGGTTCACCCAAATTGAAGCATGTGTCAGAATTTTCTTCCTTTTCACAGCTGAACAATATTCTCTTGTACATATATACTACCTTTTCTTTAGCCATTCATCCTTTGATGGACATTTGAGTTGCTTCCACCTTTAATCTATAATGCCACTATGAACATGGGTATGCAAATATCTTTTTCATATCCTACTTTCATTTCTTTTGAGTGTACACTTGGAAGTGGAATTACTAGATCATATGATAATTATATTTTTAATTTTTGAGGAACCACTATACTGTTTTCTATCGTGGGTACAACATTTTAAATTCATGCCAACGGTGCACAACAGTTCCAATGTTTCCCCTTATTTTCTGACACTTGTTATTTTCATCTTTTTTTAATAGTAGCCTGAATTTGTGGCCTAACATATGGTCTATTATGGAGAACGTCCTGTGCGCACTTGAGACAGATGTGTAGGCTGTTGTTTTGGGGTGGAATTTTCTGTATAGGTCTGTTAGATCTAGTTGGCATATTTTGTTGTTCAAGTACTCTATTTCTATACTTATATTCAATCTGATTATTCTATTCATAATAAAAGCAGATTATTGAAATCTTCAAATACTATTGTAGAACTATTTCTCCATTTAATTCTCTTAAGTTTTGCTTTATATATTTTGATGGTGTTTTATTAGATGCATAATTATTCATACTTTTATATCTTTTTTGCTTTATTGAACCTTGTTAGTAAATAATATTCTTTGTCTTCTGTAACATTTTAAATATAAACTCTATTTTGTCTGACATTAGTTCCAGTCACCTTTGCTCTCTTTTAGTAAATATTTTCATGTGATATCTTTCTATTCTTTCACTTTCAACCTATTTATGTCTTTGGATCTAACACAAGTCTCTTACAGACAGCATATATATGGGTTACTAAAAATACATTCTGTGAATAGTTGTATTTTGATCAAGCAGTTTAATTCATTTAAATTTACATTTAAAAGAATTATTAATGAGAATAAATTTAACTTCTGTCATTTTTCTATTGTTTTACATATACCTATGGAATTTTTCTCCATTTCTTCATTGCGATCTTATTTTTAATTTTTTACAGTAAAACATATTAATTGCCTTCCCATTTTCTTTTCTGTATATTCTATAGCTATTTTCTTTTCGGTTAACATAGGAGTTATATTTAAGCTCATAAAATTATAATGCCTTAATTTGAATTCGTACTAGCTTAACTTACTCTTTTAACAGTTCCATTTTCATTATTTCAGTTATTTAATGTCACATAATTGCATCCTTATACATTTTGTTCCCCAAAACATAGACAAATACTTGTTTTTTAATGCATCCATTTCTTAAATTATGAAAAAAAAGCAAAGTTGTAAACCAACATCAAAATTATACAGGGTTTTATAATTGCCCATGTATATCTCTTTACAGGGATCTTCATTTCTTCTCAAGACTTCAAGTTACTGTCCACTGTCCTTTCATTTCAACTTGTAGGACGGACTCCCTTTAATATTTCTTGCAGGGCAGGTCTCATGGTAACAACAAAATCTTCGGCTTTTGTTTATGTAAGAATGTCTTTACTTTCCCCTTATTTTCATTTACTTTCCCCTTGCTTTCAAAGGACGGTTTTCCTGAACATACTTGGTTCACAAGTTTTTTGACTTCCAAGATTTCTGGTGAGAAATATGCTGATAATTTTCCTGAGAATCTATCATATATGAAGAGTTGCTTCTTTCTTGCTACTTTCCAGATTCTCTCTTTCTCTTTTGATGGTGTGATCATAATGTGTCTTGGTGTATTTGTCTTTTTTTTTTGAGACAGAGTCTCACTCTGTCATTCATGCTGGAGTGCAGTGGCATGACCTTGGCTCACTGCAGCCTCTGCCTTTGGAGCTCAAGTGATCCTCCAGCCTCTCAGCCTCCCAAGTAACTGGGACTACAAGTGTGTGCCACCACACCTCGCTAATTTTTGTATTTTTTGTAAAGACAGGGTATTGCCATGTTGCCCATGCTGGTCTTGAACTACTAAGCTCAAGCGATCCACTTGCTTCAGCCTCCCAAAGTGCTGGGATTACAGGCATGAGGCACCACACCTGGCCTGTGTGGTTCTCTTTGAGTGCATCCTGTTTGGAGTTTGTGGAGCTTCATGAATATTTATATTTATGTCTTTCATAAAATTTGGGAAGTTTTAAACCATTATTTCTTCAAGTAATCTCCATTTTCTTTCTGTTTTATCCTTCTGGGACTCCCACAGTGCCTATGTTGGTTTGTGTGATGGTGCCCCACACTGTCTGTTAACTTTTATTCAATCTTTTTTCTTTCTGTTTCAGACTCAGTAATCTCAATTATCCTGTCTTCAAGTTTGTTGATTCTCTCCTCTTGCAACATACAGCTGTAATTCAAGATCTCCTAAGAGACAACCAAATAAGAACTCTGAAAGGTGGAAAGAGAAAAGTGAACTGGTTAGACATACCAAGACAGGAGGAAATGCATAGTGTTTGGTCTTGTTAAGACCCCCACCTAACAGTAGAAAATGGCCCAGACCTGGTGATATGGTTTGGCTCTGTGACCCCACCAAATTTCACCTTGAATTGTACTCCCCATAATCCCCACGTTTCAAGGGCAAGACCAGGTGGAAGTAACTGGATCATGGAGGTGGTTTCCCCATGCTGTTCTCATGATTGTGAGTGAATTCCCACATCTAATGGTTTTATAAGCATCTGGCATTTCCCCTGCTTGCACTCACTCCATCCTGCCACCCTGTGAAGAAAGTGCCTACTTTACTTTTGCCTTCTGCCATGATTGTAAGTTTCCGGAGGCCTCCCAAGCAATGCATAACTGTGAGTTGATTAAACCTCTTTCTTTTATAAAGTACTCAGTTTGGGGTATTTCTTTTTCTTTTTTTTTTTTTTTTTTTTTGAGAAGGAGTTTCGCTCTTTTTGCCCAGGCTGGAGTGCAATGGCGCGATCTCATCTCACTGCAACCTCTGCCTCCCGGGTTCAAGTGATTCTCCTGCCTCAGCCTCCCAAGTAGCTGAGATTACAGGCGCCTGCCACCACGCCCGGCTAATTTTTTGTATTTTTAGTAGAGACAGGGTTTCACCATGTTGGCCACGATGGTCTCAATCTCTTGACCTTGTGATCTGCCTGCCTCGGCCTCCCAAAGTGCTGGGATTACAGGCATGAGCTACCGCGCTTGGCCTGTTTTGGGTATTTCTTTATAGCAATGTGGGAATGGACTAATACACCTGATAACATTGACCTGCACTTGGCAACAGAATGTGTCCTATGTAGGACTATTCATCACGCAGGTCAAATTGGAGTCCTGATAAGACCAGAGGAGCACAGCAGGACAAGTGTGGGGCTTCAACCTGAAGCTTCACCAACAGTGCATAGACAAGGGAAGCTCTCTGTGTCTCCACTGAGCCTGAGATTCTGCTCCAACATCCCGGGGTCCTGCTATGTTGGGCACTGACAAGAGGGACCCCACCACAACAAGCCCCCTACCTGGGGGCTTTTGATACAAGCACTCTTTCCCAAATATTATGAAAGATAAAACCCACATAATAAAGAAGCTGAACAAATTCAAAATATGATAAACCTAGAGTAACCTATGTCAAGATACATTACAATTACTGGAAAATAAAAACAAAGAAAATGTCTCATGACTGTGGTGGTGGTTACTTTATTGTACATAAGTATTTGTCAATATTTACAGACTGTAGAACTGGGAAGGAAAACATTTGCTCTATGAGAATCATACCTCAAAAACCTGCGTTAAAACATATCTGGCCGGGCGCAGTGGCGCGCCTATAATCTGAGCACTTTGGGAGACTGAGTTGGGCAGATCACTTGAGGTCAGGAGTTCATGACCAGCCTGACCAACATGGTGAAACTCCATCTTTACTAAAAATACAAAAAGTAGCCTGGGGTGGTGGTGGATGCCTGTAATCCTAGCTACTAAGGAGGCTGAGGCAGGAGAATTGCTTGAACCCAGGAGGCAGAGGTTGCAGTGAGCCGAGATCGTGCCACTGTCCTCCAGCCTGGGCGACAGAGCAAGACTCTGTCTCAGAAAACAAAAACAAGCAAGCAAACAAACAAACAAACAAACTAGATATCAGAGTGTCTATGATGTCTTATTACATCCGTATCTGGCTTCTGTAAAAATCTAACATGAAATTACTAGAAAAGGCTTCTTTAGCATCTTTATTTGGTCACGTGGCTTTCAGTATAGGTCCATGAAATCATCTCCTCAAATTCTCTACCTTTTTTCCAAATGCTGTCCTATGCTTACTTTTCATGGTTTACGTAAGTGCACTACTCATAGGCAATTCTTTGCTTACTGTGTGCTGTGCTTCCTACTGGATCTTGGTGTGCAAGACGAAAAACGCTTGATCTTTTCTCCTGTGAGTCCACTGAGATACATTTGTTCCATTCTTCCCATTATAGGTGGATGGGAAAATTCCCAGGTAGGCAGGTTAGAAACCCGCGAGGGATGTGGGGATTCTGCCTCCTTCTCCTGCATAAATCCAAGCAACCCTTGTCTCGCCCCTGCTGCCTCCTTACCTGCTTTCATGTGAATTCCCTCTGTGCGCCCCGCTGCTGTTTCCTCGTGTAAAACACCTTTCACCTTCACTTCAGCAATGTCTATCTGGAACTTTGTATCCAGCCTTACCCTCCTCTAAGCTGTTTACTGAAAAGAGTTTTGTATATTTATTTTTTTTGCCTCAAATTCCTTTCTAAATCCTGTGTATAGTGGACACAGGACACAGCCCCTGCTCTAACAGATAACAAGCAATGAAGTAGGCAAATCGATTACACTGAGGTAAGAGTAGTGACAAAGTAAGCCACAAATATTGATAGACAGTGGATAAAAGGGCTCTTACATAGAGATTTGAAGCTACACTCAGTTGAGAAAGTGAAAGCCAGTACATATGAGGGTTTTCTGTAAGGCTGTGAACTCTCCGCTGTGCAAACAGAAGCAGATAGCACATGTATCAAGGGCATTCCAATCAGCAAGTTCGCTTAGTAATAAACTCCACAGTTCTGAGAGTTGATGCTTTATTTTTAATTTTATAACAGATTTACAGATTGTATTCTTCCAAATGAATATGGTTTTCGATTTAACACACTTTTGAAATTGTTCATTGGAAGTGCATTATAGGCTCTGTGTAAGCCATAAAATACAAGTTATTATCCCCTTAATTTTTATCAGAAAAGGGGCAACTTTGTTAGTTATCTCGTTCATTCTGGGCTCTAAATTATCATCTTTTTGAAGGGAAGCTGGACAATGAATGTCTTGACTCATCAATGTGTCTCCCACTGTCCCTTCCACTTAGAATACTGCATTTGTCCTTTAGGGAAGCAATAAAAATAAAATCAGAAATCATGCCTATCAGTGAATTGCCATGATTAAGAATGTTCAAATCAAATTTTGCAGGTTTTAAAAGCTGTTCAAAAAGAAGAATTCAAAGTGCTTTAGTGATGTTGGAAAAAACAATGACATCTTGCTGGAATAAGTTTAATGCCTTCCAAGGAGATGCCTGAAAAGATAGCAAGATCATTTGTATGCAGAGCTCTGGTGCATTTTTTAAGCTAATAGAACTGACTCTCCCTATTCCTGGGTTCCATATCCATGAATTCAGCCAACCTTATATCTGAAAAAAGATTTGTCTGTACTGAACATGTACAGACTTTTTTCCTCGTCTTTATTCTTCAGAAATGCAGTATAACAACTGTTTACATAGCATTTACATTGTATTAGGAATCACACATAATCTAGAGATGACTGAAAGTATACAGGAGGGTGTGCGTAGGTTATATGCAGGTGGTAGCTATTTTATATCAGGGTTATGAACATCCATGGATTTTTTTGTATCTGAGAGGGGTCCTGGAACCAGTCTTCTGGGGATATTGAGGGGCACCTGTCCTGTACAATTAGAATAATAACACGGGGCATTTATTGAGTGCTTACTTCTTACCAGGTACTCTTTGACATTTGTCATCACTATAGTCTCATTTAATGTTTATCATCATTCTATGAGAGATTTTATTCATATCCTGGTTATCATGCCTCATGGTCATTTATGTCACATTAGCATGAAGTACTAAGAATGTCAGACATCAGCAGCAGTGTTGGTGCAAAGGAGGGCATTGGAAGGCTGCAGCCACTGTGAAATCTCAATTAGCTCCTCAGACTACCCCATGGACACTCCATCTAAGAAACACGTGATATGCTGGGTCACAGAGAGTCCCACCAATATTTTCTCTTCCAGGTTTCCTTGGTAGAAACTTAGGAGCCACCACTGATGAGCAATATGAAAAATGTGGGACAATAATATTCCTGGTTTTCTTTCTTCATCCATTGTTCCTTTCTCTTCTTGACGGACAAGTGTGTGCTCACACACACACACATGCATATGAACAGACTGCACACACATACATGCATAAGTGCACACACACACACGCAGCATACATGTGTGTTCTCTCACAGAGAACAGTATAGTATCATAATATAGCAGAATTAGGGATAAATTTCTAGCAACCTTCAGTTTGCTCCAGTCCTCAGAATAAATCTTGACTTTCAACCTGACAACAACTGTATGTGAAAAATTCATTTTAAAACACATACATAGTATTTTATGATTATTTTCTATTTGATATTGCTGCTCTTCTGGAAAGGCTGATTTGAACTCACCCATACTTTCATTTAACACACACACAACTACCATTACTAGAAAATTGCATAGAAGGGACCGTCCCTATCTGTCTCCACACACATTTTTATATGCTCTATTAAAATCGCTTACTTTGCCAATTATATTTCCCTGTGCCTGGTTACTAAGGCATCCTTTGTATCACGTTAATGCCTGTGAGGGTCAGCCTCCACGCTGCTAGGTAACATCAGAGCGACTTCCAATTTCATTTCGGTATAGATTTGTCCTGAAGTCCCTGTCATTAGACACTTTTACCTGTGGAGCTTTTAGGTGGGCATATTGGGGTCTATGTCACCGTGACAGGTCACTAAAACTTGCCAGTGCTACCCTGACATGCGCTTTGCAGTTCGCTTTTACATTTGTTTTAACCTTAATGGAGGCTCGTGGCAGAAAGATAGGCTGGCATAGCAATGAAGTATGAGTCATTACAGTCCTCTGCAATCCAGAAAGAAATGTCAGCACAGCAGCTCAATCTTCATTGCTTTTTATATCTGAGTGCCAGGTGGATTTTAAATTTCTTTAAAGTACTTTAACTAATCAAGCTTCCATTCCAGCCTCTTTTCTTCCCCCAAACTGCAATCTCTTTCATTTTACTTTCTGTCTATTCAATGAAAAAAGTAATCATTTCAAAAAGTATTTGTACTGAATTTTTGTTTTGCTTTCCCAAGAAATTATTAAAAAAAAAATCATGCATCAATGGTAGACATTGCAGCCTAAAGTGATGCAGTTATGAGACAAATTATTAATCTTTACTTCTTAGGTATAATACAGGAATTAACGTAAAAAATAAAAGTACATTGAGTTGTAAGTGCTTACATGTTTTAGACATACGCTTATTGACACAGGTGTTCTTTTAAAGGATTTCTTTAGAAAACGGTTTCTGTTTTTTAACAAAATATTAACTTTAATTTGAGTTGGATACTTTCAACTTGTATTTAGGTAATTTAAATAAATTCCAAAATATAATCCGTGTTGACACTCTAATATTATTCTCCTCTTGTCTTTGTTTTTTTTTTTTCTGTGACACATGTAAGTATGCTTGGCCTACTTAATGAAAAAATTGAATATAGAATCCTAGGTGGGCAGGGTTTATTTATTTTCAAGAATATATGAAGTGAGAGTCAGCCATGAGTGTGTAAGTATATACATTTCCTCAGGCTTGCCAACTAAGATATTATAAAACTATAAACTTTGACAACTGAATGGGTGAAAACTTTAACTGTAGTTTAGTTTTCGTATTCTGTGATACTAGTGACATTCAAGAGCTTTTCATTTATTATCAAATATTTAATTTTTATTATTGTTACTTTCCTGTGTTTATTTTTTTGAGTGGTCATTTAAAAATTAATTTGTAGTTTTTAGTTAATTTTTACTAATATTATTTCCTTGTTACATATGTAGAGCATAATTTCTAAATTTCTTTATCCTCTAACTTTGCTTTTAAGTACATTTAAAAATACCTAATTTTGATGAAGAACATATATCAGTCTTTGCTAGGTTTTGTTCTGGAGACTTCTTTATAAGCCCTTTCCTCCCCTTCCAACTTCATGAATATGCATATAGATACATAAGATATATATGTGTGTGTGTATAATACGTATGTATATAATTGTTTTTATATCATTAGTTCTATTCCATTCATCTATTCTTTTGATACAAATCCTACACTCCTGTAGTAACTTGAAATATAAAGTAAGTTTTAATATTTTGAAGGAAAAGCCCTTCTGTTTTTATTTTCCACAGTAACCTTGGCTCTTTTTGTGCATATTGCATCATGTAAATTTTACAACTGTTTTGTCAGGGTCTATAAAAAGTCCTTTTAAAGATTTGTCTATGACTATGCTGTACTTATGGGTTAATTTTGGAGAGATGGTGTATATGCCATATTGAATCTTCAATCCATGGACATAATATCTCTAGTAATTTGGGTAACCTTTATTTCCTTAGTGGAATTTAAAATTTTTTTTCATAAATCCTTTCTAGAGTTTTATAGTTTCTATAGTTTTCCTGGGTATTTTATTTTGTTACTTCAATATTTTATGTCAATATTTTCTAATCTGTGTTTGCTGATGTATTAGATATTTATTCAGCTACGCATCACCTAATGATATTTCAGGTCACAATGGGCTGCATATATGATGGTGGACCCAGTAGATTATAATCTAGCTAAAAAATTCCTATCACCTTGTGATGTCATGGCCATGATAACATCATAGTGCAACACGTCACTCAAGTGCTTGCAGTGACGTTGGTGTAAACAAACCTACAGTGCTCCCAGTTGGATAGGATTATAGCACATACAATTGCATACAGTGCATGATAATAGGTGACTGCTACTGGTTTATTTATTTACCACACTATATTTTTATCATTAACTTAGAATGTACTCCTGCTACTTACTGAAACCATGTTAACTGTTAGGCAGCCTCAGGCAGGTCCTTCCAGAGATATCTAGAAGGCGTTGTGATCATAGGAGATGACAGCTCTATGCCTGTCATTGCCCCTGAAGACCTTCTACTGGGACAAGATGTGGAAGTGGAAGACAGTGATATTGACGATCCTCACCTTGTGTAGGTGTAAGCTAATGTGTGCATTTGTGTCTTAGATTTTATTTAAAAAAATTAAAAGTGAAAAAATAAAAATATAAAAGAGCTTTTCCAATAATGATATAAAGAAAGAAAATGTATTTGTACAGCTATACAATACGTTTATGTTTTAAACTAAGTGTGATCATAAAAGTTAAAGAGTTAGACAATTAGAAAGTCTGCAAAGTAAAACAGTTACACTAAGCTAAGGTTAATTTATTATTGAAGAAATAATTTCTTTTTAATTCAGTGTAGCCTAAGTGTATAGTGTTTATAAAGTCCACGGTAGTGTATGGTAATGTACGAGGCCCTCACATACATCCATCACTCACTCAATGACTCACCCAGAGAAACTTCCAGTCCTGCAAGCTTTATTCCTGCGCCCTATACAGGTATACCATTTATAATCTTTTGTGCCATAATTTTACTGTACCTTTTTGATATTTAGGTATGTTTAGATACACAAATACTTACCGTTGTGTTACAATTGCCTATGGTATTCAGAAAAGTAACATGCTGTTCAGGTTTATAACCTAAGAGCAATAAACTTTAATACTTAGCCTAAATGTGTAGTAGATTAAACCATGTAGGGTTGTGTAAGTACACTCTATGACATTCACACAAGGATTCTCAAATGATACCTGTGTCGTTAAGTGATACATGACTGTATTTTAATTTTACACAGGCAATTTCATTTAAACTCTGGTTTTTCAGTGGATTCTTCTGAATTTTCTAGGTTGTCTATAAAACTACCTAGAAAATTGTCTGGAGTTGTTTGCTATTTTTCTCTTGTGTTTAAATTTTTATACTTAATTTTATTTCTTTTCTTATTTAATTCGCTGGACTTTTAATACAATAGTTAATTTTAATGTCTTCTAGATTCTACCAAGACATTAACGTTACATCGGCTTTTGATTCTCCCCAAAACGAAACTTTCACTGATAAAAAAGCGAGAGAGCTTGAATGACTAGAGAAACTGACATAAAAACCAAGAGCGAATTGTGGGGATGGATGCAAATGTCTGCATGTGATAACATTACACAGAATGTCCCCGAAACTCACAGATGCATGTTTGGAAGATGGTGGAAATTGAATATGATCTATAGTTTAGTTAGGAGTAACTTCTTGGTTTTGATTATTGTACTATTTAAGATGTCACCATTGAAGGAAGATGGGTGGGACCCTGTACTATTTATGGAACTTCTTTTGAGTTTGTAATTATTTCAAAACAAAACATTTTTAAAAAGTCAAGAGAGAGCTCAGTGGAGCCAGGGGCCGTAAGGTGGGTAGGCGTGCGAAGGTCGCCTTCACACTATGTGCTCTATATGAGGTTAGCAACCAAAAACAATGAAGGGCACCTGCCTTAGCCGGGATGGGGCTGAGGAATTGCTGTGTGGAGCTCTTTTCCTCCTCCTCCTTATCCAGGGGAATCCCTGTCCTGCTCAGTGTGAGGTAGACGCTAGCCAGGAACCAGCCGGAGAAAGCACAGAGCTTGAAGCCTGCTAGGATTGGGAGCTGGTGGAAACAGAGTGCTGCACCCCGTCCACCCACCCACACACCTCCTTCTCTACTCTGTGTTGTAAGGTGAGGTTTATAGCCGGCATTCTGGTTCAAATCCACTTGTGTGTTTTTGCTAATAATTTCATCTTTACTTCTACAGTATGAAATTATTACCCATCTTATTTGGTTCTATAGTTTGTCAATTTTCATCATTCTTTTTCTTTCCTTGACTGTTTGTCTCAGAATTTTACCCTATTGCTCTCTCCAAATAATTAGCTTTTGGTTTAGATGGTTTAGATGACCTACTCCAGTGCTTTTATTCTCTATATTTTTATTCTTAATTCATTATTTTCTTTTTTCTTGTTTACTGAGTATCTTCAGTTCTTCCTAAACTTTTAGAGAGAAGCATTTAGTAATGTGTTTTCAGTCTTTCTTGTTTTCTGATAAATGTATTTGAAGCTGGAATAAATAGCAGCTGTTCCTGGCACAGTGATACCTGCTGAGGGGGTCCCCATGGCCAAGCCTGCACTCTGCACTAGAGGCAGCCTTGAACCTAGTGAAGCTTTGTCTCCCTGAATCCTGGGAGTGTCTGTTTTATTGCCTTTTGGCATTTCTATTTACTGAAGAGAAGTAGCAGGACAGCCTGCTGGTTTTTTTCTTTGATAATATTTTCTTAAAAATGTTTTCTAAAAAACTTTTTTTTGTACAAAATATTTTTAATTGTTAGATTTCAGTGATTTTATCCATTTTTGGCTAGGTATAAAGTCAACCCTTTCTAAATGTAAATGTATGGCTTGCTTTAGCCTGACAAGGACTTTCCAGATACATTTTCTTTTATCATATTTAATTATATCTCTTACATGTGCTGTTCTCTATTAGCCTGAAATTTTTCTGCAGGCATACATATGCAAACATATTATATTATTTGTTTTTTATATCTATCATCTTCTTTATCTATATTTCTTCTCCTTGGAATTATAGGCATACATGATCGCTTCATCTCTGATTTATTTTTCTGCATTAATAAATTCCCTCATTATTTTTAATGTCCTCTGAATTATCTTATGACATGATTAATTTTACTTATTTTATTTAACTTTGGCAATCTCTGTTTTCCTTTAAGATTGTTATTTTAAAATTTACTAATGTGTATATTTTGTTTCATAGTGTTCTTGTTTTATTTAATTTTTAGAGGAATTCAGAACATGTTGTCTAAAATATTTTTATTTTAAAAAATGTAGAAATCTAATTTCTTCTATTTCCTTAGTGCTGGTTTATTCCATCTTTATATTATAAAGTAATTTCACAGGACTCATGCTGGTTTTTCATGCTTGCTAATCACTGATCAAAGAGAGGCCAATAATTGATGCTAGTGATTTCTAAAACTGAAAATGAGGGTATTCACTCACAGTTCAATTGGAATGCTATTAGATTTTTTTTTTATTGGATCTTCAGCTGGAGGAAGAGATAAATGATAAGTGTTGAGAGAGTTGGATTTCAGGGAAATGCCCACATTTGGATTTTATTTCAACAAAGGCTATTGTTTATCTGGTGGAGACACTATGCCAAGAACCAACTTCCTTTACTTGAATTGTGTTCATGCCATTGTTTATCCCCTAGTAAACTGGCAACTCCATCAAGAAATAATGCCTCCATGGAAACCAGTTGTTCAAGCCAAACCTGGGAATTACCTCTGACAGCTATCTCTTCTTCAGCCTTGAAAGTTCTATTAATGCAACTCCAAAGATAGTTCCAAAAAATATCCATTTCACTTATTCTTTATTGCCAGTACCCAAGCTAAAGTGACCATGCTGTCTCCATAGACTAGAATTATCCCAACTGATCTCCAACTTTCATTCATGTCCCCTACTATTCATTTTCTAAACCACACCCAAATCATTTTTAAACATTCTGTAATGATATTTTTGATGGTTGGTTTTGTGTCAACTTGTCTGGGCTAAGACATGCCCAGATGACTGACAGAATATTATTTCTGGATGTGTCTGTGAGGGTGTTTTTGGAAGAGATTAACATTTAAATCAGTACACTGAGTAAAGAAGATCTGCCCTCATCCATGTGGTCAGGTATCATCCCACCCATCGAGGGCCCAAATAGAACAAAATGGCAAAGGGAGGATGGGTGAATTTATTCTCCCTCTCCTTGAGCTGGAACATCAATATTCTCCTGCCTGGGACATTGAAGCTCCTAGTCTCAGGCCATCAGATTATGAAACTTAGCCCAGAAGCCCTCTTCTCCACCCCACCCTGGTTCTCAGGCCTTAAGACTCGGAGTGAATTACACCACAAGCTTTCCTTGTTTCCCAGCTTGCAGACAGCATGGTAGGACCCTTCAGCCTCCATAACTGTGTAGGCTAATCCCATCTATTTCTATCTCGTTCTATGTCTTCTGTGTCTATGTGTATGTTGAGTTTTATGTTGATGTTGATGTCTATGTCTAGGTCTATGTGGATGTCAATGTCTATCTCTAGCTCTATCCTATTTGTCTGTTTCTCTGGAGGACCTTTACTAATACATTCTCTTTTTTGTCAGTGCTACATCATTTATTCAGGAAAAATTCAAGTTGGTATTCAGTTCTTCAATGTTCTTTAGTAAAAACCATGCTCAAAGATTATTTTATGTAGACTCTGTTTTCCAAGTTTGCTGAAATGATTTTCTCTCTTAATTTCATACTATGTTTGTGGATTGTTAAGTTGATTTCTGAGAAACAGCAGGAATGTGTGGGTGGGGATCAATCAGAGGGATGGTGCGTTGGATATCTTTATTCGTGTTATTGTTTACTCTCCTAACATTTTTGAAACCCCTGACCTATATTTGGCTGTTACTTCTTTGATGGTGTATCAGGAAGATGCCTTAACAAACTGCCATAAACTGGGTTCTTAATAGAAATTTAGTTTCTCATCATTCTGGATGCTAAGAATACAAAAAATAAGTTTTTAGCAGGGACACAATCCCTCCAAAACCTCTAGTAGAAGATTTTTCCTTTACTTTGCCAGCTTCTGGTAGCCGCAGGGCCTTGGTTGCAGAGGCATCACCCTCATCTCCACCTCTGTTGTCACATGACTGACTGTCACTTCCCTGCAGGTCTCTGTCTTCTGCTTTTTTTTGTTTTTGTTTTTTTTGACGGAGTCTCACTCTGTCACTAGGCTGGAGTACAGTGACATAATCTCAGCTCACTGTAACCTCTGCCTCCCGGGTTCAAGTGATTCTCCTGCCTCAGCCTCCTGAGTATCTGGGACTACAGGCACGTGCCACCATGCCCAGCTAATTGTTGTATTTTTAGTAGAGACGGGGTTTCACCATGTTGGCCAGGACGGTCTCAATCTCTTGACCTTGTGATCAGCCCACCTTGCCTTCCTATGAGGGCCCACCCTAGCGACCTCTTCTTAACTTGATCATATCTGCAAAGACCCTGTTTCCAAATAAGGGAATATATACAGGTACCAGGGGTTAAGACTTCAACAAATATTTTTGGGAGACAGAATTCAACCCACAACAGATGATATTTATGGTTCTTGAAAGCAATTGTGACTTATTCAAATTTAAGTCTTCAGAATGGGAGAGAATAAAAACTGATAGCACAGTTTAGTGCCCGGAACACGGTAAAATCGTATGGTAATAAGATGGGTTTCTATTGTGTCTGCTAACCTGCCCTATGAAGAAAATTTTAAATCCCTTGTTCAATGGTGGCACCACTGCAGTAAATATATATCTCTCATATAGTCTACTTGACTTATAGTTTCTGATAGATATGATAATACCTAAGCTTTGATATATATTATTATACTTATGATACATATATCTAAGTCACTTCTAAACTGTCATTAGTTCGCACATTTATTTTTGTTATAACAGGAAATCCAAATGCCTATTTTCCAGCTATAAGTGCTAAGCTATGAGTAGTTGTTCTGTTTATCTTTTCTATCTCATTTGGCTTAAAATGGATGCTTAGGATGCTTAGTTAAGAGTAACAGGATTTAAAACCTTGTCATCAGAGAGCTACTTGATAACTAGTCTCTTTAGGCCAATGTATTCTATTAGTTTCAGTTGAAGGCAGCATAACCAAACTGTGCAGGTATTCAACATCAATAAAAACAATCTCAGGACAGTGATTTCTCTGGAATTCTTCATTCTTAATGAGTGGTATTACTTCTTATGTAAATCTGGTGAAGCTAAGGCATAAGATGTTACTGAAAGATGCAAACTACTCTATTCAAGTGATCATCTGCCCAGTACTTAGGAAACAATTTTGACTGGTGCTAAATGCATCTGGATGAGCAAATCACATGCTATGAAACACAGTATAATAACTGGAGAAGACATTTTTGTCTTCCTGTCTTGTAAATTCTTCTGTATGTCCAGTAAGCTGTGGATAAACAGGTTCAGACAAATATTATGATTGGAACACCAGTTCTAGATTGTGCAGGAAAAGATATTTTGTTAATTTGTTCTGACCCTCAAAATTGTGCACATTTTACAGCAAGCACAGATGTTAAATCATGTCCCTCACCTCTCTTTGTTCAAACAATGAACACTGCTAGTTTGAGTTGCTATTAGAAAGTACCATAGACCAGGTGCCTTATAAACAGTGGAAATATATTTCTCATAGGTCCAGAGTTGGGGAAGTCCAAGAGAAAGACATCAGGAAATTCTGCATCTGGTGAGGGTTGCTTCCTGCTTCCTAGATGATGTCTCTTCACTGTAAACTCACAGCGTCAAAGAGCCAAAAGAGCTCTTTCGGGTCTCTTTTAAAGAGGCACTAATCTCATTTATGAGGGCACCACCTTCATGATTTATTCATCTCCAAGGGCCCCACCTCCAAGTACCAGCACATTGTGAATTAAGTTTCAACAGCCTACTTTAGGGAAGACACAAATATTCAGTCCATAGCACACACTTTGGCCCTGTCTAGTGTAGCAGCTAAGAACTCTAAACATCTTCTGGATTGTCACTCTAAGTTGCAGTTGACTTAGGTCACAGGTGACACATACCGAAGTGATTAATTCTATGAGCCTTTTACAATGAGACCAAGACAGTTTTATATATTAGAGAACGATTACTATATTATATCATACAGTTTTCTATAGTATAAAAAAATTTTGACTAAAAAATATTATTTAATTTTCTATCTCGTCCACATAAAGAAAAGCTGTGGAAGAAAGTAAAACAAAAATCTTGGGAAACCCTGTTGAATATTCTGTTGTATGGTGTGATGCTGCAGAAATCCTTTGATAGCTATAATACATTAAAATTGTGGATTCTTTTTTCACTGCGGTAATCAGATTCCATTGCTGACTTATTTATGTAAATAAAATTGAGATTAATGAACATTCATCTTATGCAAGAAAAAAATTGTGTGTATTTTTTAAATTCAGTAGCTAGAACATACAGTGATGAAAATGAATGTTTGCCAATTGAATTGATTGAACAGGAAGAGGTAGTTTCTAAATGTCATTGTATTTTTGACCCTGGATATCATTACTATATAGAGATAGGTCTAACATGAAGAAACAATAATATATTCCTTATCACACAATTTCTTCTTACATGGATTGTAAGTGGGTGAAAATTGAAAAAGCTATACTTGCTTTTTTCACAGTAAATGGAATCAAAACAAAAACAACATGAGTATTTGCGTTAAATGCATTGGCATTCACTAAATTCAGTTAGCATAACAACCAACTAGGTGGGCTGATATGGGTATAGCAGCTGTGTGTCATCAAAGGGTAAGGATTTGGTATTGTTCCTAACCCAAATCTGGAGTTAAGTGAAGATTTGTTTTGATGAATAATATGAATTTTAAAATCTTTGAAAATAATATTTCTTCCATAGAAATCAATTTACCAAATTCCCAAATAAAGCAAACTCTCAGGTATAAAAATATAATTTGTGTTTCTGAAAATATTCCAGTATATATGATGAATCTTCATTATGTTTGGCATTTGTCCAGCTCCAATCAAGTTTTCTGTGCAGTTCTGAATTTTTAAATTGATATTGGTTTTTAAATTTTCTATTTGTATCAGTTTTTTACTGTGAGATTCTATTCTTCTATGTGTACTTTCCACTTTTCCAACATGTTTTCAGCTATTTGACTTTTTTTTTTTTTTTCGATTGAGGCAGAGTCTCGCTCTGTCACCAGGCTGAAGTGCAGTGGCGTGATCCCAGCTCACTGCAACCTCCGCCTCCCAGGTTCAAGTGATTCTCTTGCCTCAGCCTCCTGAGTAGCAGGACTGCAGGCACACACCACCACGCCCAGCTAATTTTTTGTATTTTTAGTACAGACAGGGTTTCATCATGTTGGCCAGAATGGTCTCCATCTCTTGACCTCATGATCCGCCCGCCTCGGCCTCCCAATGTGCTGGGATTACACGCATGAGCCACCGCGCCTGGCCGAGCCATTTGACTTTAAAGTCATATGCTGGGCCTGTTTGTTTATTCTTTGGTTGTGCGCTGCGTGTGGGATCAACAGACTTTGTTCATAAGGCACCTCTCTTTTAATGTAACTTGTAAATGCTATTTGAGCAAATTGTTTTTAGTCATGTGTCATCTGAATCTTATGGCACTATTGAGTCTCTCCTATCTTTTCCTAGCCAGAGAAGATGAATTATTTTTTCATTCATGTTTTTATATCATGTTTTTGGTATAACATAAAATGCTGTTTTCTGATAAATTCAAACTCTTTAGCATCAAGGGGGTAGGCTGCTGAGGCAACCTTACGGCATATCAAAATAACTCTTAATCTGTCACTTGTGGATGCAGGTCAGTGTGATCTGCCACCTATCACGTAATATTGCCTGTTAAGTCATTTATCTTTCTCCCATTGCTTGCTATATAAAGCCCAAATGACCCATCATGGCAGACACACCATGACCCTGTCTTTTACACTTGACATCCTATCCCATTTTTATTTAAGTACCCTATGTTTGGCCATACCAACTCTTTTGCCGTTTCCCATATTTACTTCCCTGTCATGATGCACATTCTCTTTCCTCTATCTCAAAAACATTTTATCTTAATTGTCCAACAGATAAAACCTCTAAGTGCCTTTTAAGCCTCTGCTCACCTAGATCCTTCCATGAGAAGTCTTCGGGCATTTTTAAGGGCTCTTGATCAGTTTATCCTCTGTGGGGATCACTCCCTCCACGGTGTGCTAGTCACTCCTTTACTGTGGTATTTATCATGTGAAGTGGCAATTCGCTAATTGTGAGTGAACGCTTTCATGCTTCTGGAGGTAGGGATGTGTGCTTGCCTTCCGCTGGCCCAGAACATTGCTTCCCCTGTAATGCCTCTTCACACAGTGCTGGTTGAACACATGCTCACTATTTCTGCTTTTGAACTGGAGAATTGTCCCCTCCGTTCCATATGTAATTGACACATCCTAGAGATTTATGATTACCTACCACTGGGGAGATTATAGTGTCATTGATAACAACGAAAAGGAAGATAAAATGAAGCTAGTGAACATCCGAAGGCACCATACGAAAATTTGTTTGGACATGTCATAAACACACACCTTCAGTAAGTGCTGAAAATGTAATGTTGACTAAGCCAGCCTTTTCTATTTTACATATGAAACCAAATTGATAAATTTATGATCCCTCTGAGTTTCTTTGTTCCTTGTAAATTAAAAAGTTATAGATCTGAAGGTGACATGTAATTTGCCAATATAAATGTGTAATGCAAGCACACTGTTTCACTTCTGCTATGAGGGCCTAGTTTGCAGCAAATCCTCTGGATAATGGGAGGCTGGAGAAAAGCGGCATACAATACAGGCACAGGAAATCATCTCATCTGCATAAAGGCATCCAAAAGATGCAAAAGCACCCAGGACTTTAGGGACCAAAGTCCTGGAGAGAAAGAAAACTCGTTGAGGAGAGCTCAATATTTCGTGTACCTTCATAAAACTCATTGAAGAGAGTTCATATTTTATGTACCTTCTCCTTCAATGTATTTGCCAATTCACAGTTGCCTAAACAGAGAAATAAAATTAGCCCAGAAGAAAGCCCAAGTCTGCTGGCACTGAAGGAAACAGAGACATAGGACAGTGGACCGATCACTTTTGGCATTGACTTACGAGCTTCATTTCAGCTTTGCCAACATGGAGCAAACAGAGTGAGATACTCAATAAAATTACCAACATTTTCATGGCACTGGAAAGATACAAATTGCAGTTCAGGGATTGCCATGTGGAATGACCCTGGGAAACATGTATCCTGCCAGTTGACAACCCTGGAGGCTGGGACTCCGGAAGGAAGTGGGAAGCAGAAATGGACCAGCACTCACACCGACTCCCACTGAGAATCAGGACAACTCCTGATGGGGTTAGGGTGATTTTCTCCCTCATTTAATACTGGCAGTAAGCTCAACTAAGTCTCTTACCAAAAAATAAAAATACCATCCAGAAACTCTACATTTTTAAGATGCATAAAGTCCAACTTTCAAAAAAAATAAAATTATAAGCATGGCAAGAGACAGAACTCAGAGAAAATAAAATACAGAAACCAGTGATAGAAATATTGAGTTTATCAGACTTGAGCTTTAAATAACTCTGATTAACATATTCAATAAAAAGACTGAAAATAGGGATAATTTTGCCTGTAATCTATATCAAAGCTTCAGATGAAACTTCTAAAGGCAAAATTAAGAGTTCAATGAATAATTGTTTTAACTGCAAAGTATTCACAGTTGAAGTAAGGATTAGGGGTTGGTAGAAAGCATACTGTCAAAAGCATAAAGAGAAAAAAATTGAAAATGTAAGGCGTGCAAGAGGCATATTTGACATGGAGAAAAGTGTAAAGTATTTGTAACTGCAGTCCTAGAAATTGTGTAGAAAATAAATAATGAGAAATATTTGGAGAGATAATAGGAGAGAATGTTCCAAAACTGACAAAAATATTAAGACATAGATTCAGGGACTATTACAAATTCCAAAGAAGAAAATAAATATACATCTACACATATTAACCAAAATAAAGACAAAAATCTTAAAAGCAGCCAGAGGGAAAAAATATGCATCATCCTTCAAAGAGCAAAAATAAGACTGACAGCTGTCTTTTTAACAGAAAGAGTGAAAAACACAAGATGGTAAAATGCCATATCTAAAACTCTAAAATAAAATAATTATCAAACTGGAGTTTGATTGCCAGTGAAAATAGCTTTCAAAAAAAAAAAAAATCAGTGACTACCAACAGTACAAGTCTCTATTATCTATCCCTTCCCTGATGACCTCTATAATCTCTGGACAGATTAAAGACTCTGAAAAGTAAACACAAGCAGGCAGATTATTGAAAAGAGTCATCATTTGAGACAAATGACACAAACAGAGAGATTTTTCTCATTTTTTCACTTCCTGTGGCTTTGCCCAAAGACAGACCTCTGCAAAGCAACATGGTGGTGCAAAAATTGCATTATATTTCTGGTTAGAGAACCAGGGAAAGAGGTACCATAAGTTGAATTTAAGAGGGAAGATCAAGAAGGGAGAGGTCTGGGGAATAGGATTTCATATTTCTGCATGTGAATCTTCACAAGCCTTAAGCTGATCCCTGAACCAAACATGTGTGAGACATACCCAATCCAGTGCAACAACAACAACAATAAAAACTGAGATTTAAAAACCACCCAAATGGTGGTGTTTTAAACAAATGAACATAAGATAAAGAAAAACACAGAAATTGTTTCCTATCCAGAGCGAATGGTGAAGAAATTTCAGTTGGAGGAAAACTAATAGAAAGAAATGGAATGGTTACTAGTAGCTGTTCTACAAGTAATACCGAAAGGATATCAGAAATGAGGTTAACATATTCTGCACACACACACACACACACACACACACACACACACAACGTGCAAACAAGAAAAGCAATTGCACGGATAGTCTATCATACTATCACAAGCTATGTATTTAACTTCCATTTTCCCCAAGGCAGAGCCAACATGGTACAATCATTGTATCTTTAGAAGTTTTGGCATCTGCCATAAAGATTTTTCTCAGCTTTTCCAGCTTTAGGGTTGACCCTCTGCCAACAGTTCATATTCCCACTCCAGTAAAAATGCATAAATGGTTTTAAACATCAAAGACAAGATGTCCGGACCCCACTTTCCATCTTCCCAAATGATTTTTCTGCATCTCTATAGATGCAAACAGTTGCACGTTGTAAAGAAGCAATATCTGTCTTCATTGATCTTTCTAGACACTAGGCCTTAGACCAGGGCTTGAAAACCAAATCTGGAGGGTAAATCTGACCCATAACCTGTTTCTGTATTAATGTTTCCCTGGAACACAGCCTCTCCCTTGGCTCAAGTCTTGTCTATGGCTGCTTTCACATGACAACAGCAAACTTGAACAGTTGTGACAGAGAACAGATGGCCCTTGAAACACTCATCATTTATTTTTTTCTATTGGAAGGTTTGTCCTCTAAACAAAGGAAAATAAAATGTGGTTATTTTCCTTAGAAGAACTACAAGTGGATAAATCTTCTAGTTTTAAATAATAAAAGGAACACTGTAGTGGTACTTTCAAAGTAAAATTAAGTTTTCCTCAATATACATAGGCTTATTAACTTAGAAGTTAACAACCATTGGCAATTCTTCCTATATTGCAGATTAAGATGAAAACGTTAGACCTGTTCCTGAGCCCATTAAGTTTTCATGGGACATCCCATTGTAATGGCACATACATGCACTTACACAAGGAAATATGGCACAGCATCCTAAAACAAACAATCCAAAAGTAAAGGGGACACTTATAATTTTCTAAAAAAACAAAACCAGAAGAATTTGCTGCCAACAGCAGTGTACCTAAAGAAATACTAAAAGTTTTTCTTCAGGAAAAGGGGTATCATGGAAATGCAGGGATAATTAACAACCAAGGAAAGGTTACACATGGAGTAAATCTAAATGAATATTGACTATATAAAACAATCATAATTTTATCTGTTTAATGTTTAATCTTCAGTGGCAAAAATCATAGAACATAAACATTTAAAATTTTCTAAATTTCAACCCTGAAGGTGGAAAAAACACTGACGTATATATATATTAGATTTTACCAATTTATGCATGCTAATAAGGTAACCAATAAAATGATGAAAGGGTAGAGTGATATAATAAAAGTAATTAAAATTTTTTATTTTATTTTATTATTAGTTTTAGAGACAGGGACTCACCCTGTCACCCATCCTGGAGTGCAGTGGCATGATAATAGCTTATTGCTACCTCAAACTCCTGGGCTCAAGTGATCCTGCCACCTCAGCCTCCCCAGTAGCTGGAACTACAGGCCTGTACCACCATAAAAACATGAATTTTGGTTTTTTATCTAAAACAAAACAAGGAAGAAAAAAAGAAATATAGAACATAAGGAGCACAGAGACTTAAAAGAAATGTTAGTAATTTAAATGTAGATGCAAATAGATTAAATACTTCAATTAAAATGTAAAGTTTATCAGACTAAATTAAAAATTTCCAGATAAATATAACTTGCAAGAGCTACTCTTAAATACAAAAGTCACATAAAGCTTGGAAGTAAGGAAAAATAAGCTAATCAAACACTACCTCAAAGAAATCTGGTATAGCTTAACAATATCAAAGTGTACTTCAAGGGAAGTAAAATTAGTATAACATGGAGAATAATCTTTTATAAAGTTATATATCACCTTACTAAGAAAGAGATCAATTATGAATTTGAATGAACCTACCATTATAGTTTTACATCATAATATAATGATAGATAGAACTAAAAGAAAGGAAAAAAAATCATAGCCAAGTTGGGATCCTTTAATGTACCTTTCTTATTATACAACAGAAAGATGAGATTAAACAAAATCAGTATGAATTTGAAAGATCTGAAAAATATCAATAAATTTGATCTAATTGACGTATAGAGAACGCTGCATAGAACTGACCACATGCTGGACCATAAAAACTCTTTCAACCTAACAATGAAAATCATTCACAGCACATTGTCTAAAACAGTAAAATTAATCTAGAAATCAATAAGAAGTAGCAAGTAGAGCTCTGAATGTTAGAAAAATAATTAGTATGTTTGTAAATAACCCATAAATTAATTAAGAAATGACAATGGAATTGATAAACTATTTTGAACTGAAGATGATTAAATATGCCATATTTAAGATTGCTAACATGAAAAAGACAACATATGAAGGGCTGGCATAGCTATGGTGTAACTGGTCATTTCACAAACTTCTTATAGGAGCTGATGTTTTATAGTTTTAAAAACACTTTGTATCAACTAAAGTTGGATATATTATACCTTATTACTCAGAAATCTACGATTTACCCAATACAATTTCAGTAATATGAACCAAAGACATGTAGAACCAAAGACATGTAGAGCAGCACTATTCTTACTAACTAAAAATTATAAAGATCTAGTTGCTAAATAGATAAATAATGGCCTAAGCTGGACACAATGACTCCCACCTATAATCCTAGCCATTTGGGAGGCTGAAGCAGAAGAATTGCTTGAGCCCAGGAGTTCGAGACCAGCCTGGTCAACATAGCGAGACCTTGGCTCTGCTAAAAATAAAAATTAGCTGGGCATGGTGGTGCACACCTGTGGTCTCAGCTACTCGGGAGGCTGAGGCAAGAGAATCACTTGAGCCTGGGAGGTTGAGGCTGCAGTGAGCTGTGATTGCACCACTGCACACCAGCCTGGGCAACAAAGCAAGACCCTGTCTCAGAAAATAATAGAAAATAAAAAAAATTGATGGCCTATTCACACAATGATATATTATACGACAACAACAAATAACAAGGATTCTCATAAATATATAGTTGAGTAAAAGAAGTCACATACAAAAGATTACCAAGTCATTAATAAACATATTTAAAAGGTAAAACTCATTGATAGTGTATGAATTAATAGGGTGATTCCTTTGGAAAGGTAGTAGGGGCAGTAAAGATGCTGAGGATAGCTCTGGGTGCTGGTAATATTCTATTTTCCAAATTTCATGGTTATCAGAATGTATTCTATTCACTTTATGAAATTTCATTTAGCTGTACATTTATGATTGTTATACTTCATTATATTAAGATGAGATCAAAAAGCTCACCCAAAATTATGTAATGCAAATAAATATTTTGAACAATACTTTTTGGTTGAAAAACGAGAAAGCCAAAATATCATTGCATTTTGATATTTTTATTCAATGTATTAATTATATAAAGTTTTTTTTTTTACATCAATTACCCTCATGCAGACACATGTATAAAGTTTTTCAATGTTGATATTAACTAAGGTTTTTGAGAAATTGGTAAAAGTTTCAGTTTTATTAAAGCATAGTGTCAGTATTATTAAATTGTTGTAAATAAATGAGAGAATTGTTGAAATGACCATAAAGTTTAAATGTTTAAGTATTACATGTTGAAAAAATGACTTGTTATCAATAAAAGAACAGCACACATTTAAACCTGGTTAGATAAAAAAATAAATATTCAGTAGAATTAAGTGGTCATATCTGATTAGTCTAAAACTTAGATTTGTTTTCATTTTTATATTTCTGTTTACTGTGCTGTATTAATGATGAGTAACAGGTTATTTGAATACCTATAAAAGCAAAATTTGTTGAAGATACAAAATATTTGGTTAGTGAAGAATTTAAGAGATTTTGAAAAACTCCAGAAGGATGTAATAAAACTAGATAACTAAACAATTTGTTGTCAAATGAAATGTAATATACACAGTGGAAGATATAATACACTATAAGAAATATTTTAATGTACATCCACTATTTTGAAATGATTATAACCACTGAAAAATTAAATATTAATATACACTCGTACAGACTGTCCTTAACTTATGGTGGTTTGAGTTATGATTTTTTGACTTTATTACAGTGTGAAAGCAATACATATTCAACAGAAAATCCATACTTCAAAGTCTGAATTTTGATCTTTTCCTGGGCTAGCAATATGCAATAAATACTCAGCTCCCAGTCATCCACAGGATCATGAGGGTAAACAACCGGTAGTGATGCCAGATGATTTTGCCCAACTCTAGGCTAGTAAGTGTTCTGAGTATGTTTAAAGTAGGGTAGGCTAAGCTATGATGGTCAGTAGGTTAGGTATATTAAATGCATTTTCAACTTACAATATTTTCAACTTACAATGGATTTATCAGGATGTAACCCCAACCTAAGTCAGGGAGTATGTGTACTTATTTCATCCTCAATATTTTATTTAGATAATTATGGAGTACCTATTATGGTCTTTAGATTCCATATATCTCATATTTCAAAATTATATGGAAGGATCAAGGACCAGGAATAACCAAGACACTCCTTGAAAAAGAAGAACACACAAGACAAGATTTGTCCTATTACATATTCACCTCGTTGTAAAGCTATATTGCATTTTATAGGCAGTATTGAAGTAGGGATCAATAAATACACCAGTGGAAGATAAAAGAAACATATTCCAGAAACAGATTCATGCATATGTGAAAACCTGATAAATATCAGAGCTCTTGTGTCATATCAGCGGGAAAGACAGTTAACACAGAATAAAGGGAAAGCAATTGACTATTCAAGTAAGAAATGAGAAACAGACCCCATTTCAATTGATAAGCAAAAATTTATCCCATACTGACATTTGAATATAGTCTTGATTTTAGATAATAGTATTATAATGACATCAATATTCTGGTTGTTATAATTATACTATGGATTTATAATATGTTAACATTAGGGAAAGGTTGAAGAAGAAAATAAGCGAACTTTCTGTGTTGGTTTTGTAACTGTTCTGTAGCTCTATAATTCTTTGAAAATAAGAAGTGTTTTTTAAAAAGGTAGTACAAGTAATATGTGATCAGTAAAAATTGAATTCCATGTTGATCATGAGTTTTAATGCGAATAGCAAAATTTAATATTCTTTTGAAAACAATATATAAGAATACTTTTAACCCTTTGTACTTGGAAAAAATTTCTTAAATAAGACTTAATAAATACAAACCATAAATAAAAATATGGATAAATCCAACTACCTTAAAAACAAGATTTTCTGTATATCATAATTTCTATCTCATTACCACAATTGTTACAATATTTTTAAGAAACAGAGTTTCAAGAGGTCAATGACAGCTCATAGAAAATAGTTACTTAGATATGAAAATCAAATTTAATCTCATTTCTGCCTAATTCTATATTTTTTTCCTTTGGGCGTTATAGTTTTCTCCTTCTCAAAAAATATATTTTAAACAATAAGCTAATTAACCTATAATTGTAAAAGAATGCATGGATAATATAACCTGCATTCATGGCATAGTTGTATGCTCACACCTACCTAAATTTACAAGAGAAAACAGCTTTTAGTTTATTAGAATCCATTTTATCTTTGGTTTTGACATTTTGAAATGAGGCATAAATAAGGATATCCTTATATAAAAACATGTCATGCATATTGCAATTACAAATATAGATTGATACAAGTATGCTGGATTGGTGACATACCATGAAAGGTGTGGCTATTGATGTTAAGATTTTTTGAAATTGTAAACAACTTTTAACAAAAGTCTGAGCCAAAGTATATGTTTTATTTAACTTACATGATAATTTTATTTCTGAATAATCCCATAAATATTAAATCCCAGCAAAAAACACTTTATGTTTCAAAAGAGTATTAGGTTTTATGCTCAATCATCCACCAATAGGAATATTAATGGGACATTTGATTTTCCAGTAGAAAAAACTTAAAAAACTTTTTATTGTACAGGGCTGTCCTGTGAATTTCAGTAAATCTCACTGATGGGACCCAACCAATTATATTCAGTGCATTGCTTTTCTTTGTGACAATGCAAAATCATTCATAGGAGGGGTCTTCAAAAAGTTTGTGAAAAAATGCATTTTATGAAAAAACTAAGAAGAGATTCTAAAATTGTTTTGGACCCAAATAAACTCATACTAACTTGTTATAACATGTCTAAGCAGGATCTAGTTTGAGGCACTAAGAAGGATAAGACATCAGTTTGAAAAGAGCCCCTATCAAAGCAACATGAATTCTGCTAAAATTAAAGAACACACATAAATTTACGGTGATGCTAAAGTGGAAAAATGGTAAAATCATTGATGCTTTACAAAAAGTTTAACAGGGCAATGCCCTAAGGAAATCAGCAGTTTACAAATGGATAACTTGTTTAAAGAGACAAGAGGATGTTGAAAATGAAGCCCATAGTGGTAGATCATTCTCATCAATTTGTGAGAAAAAAAATCATTTTGTTCATGCCTCAACTGAAGAGAACAAAAGATTCACAACAGAAACACAAGCCAACACCATAGACAGCTCAACTAATGCAGCTTACACAATTCTGACTGAAAAATTATAGCTGAGCAAATTTTCCAATTAATAGGTGCCAAAACCATTTCACCCAGATCAGTTGCAGACAAGAGAACTTTCAGTGGAAACTTTCAACAAATGGGATCAAGATCCTGAAGCATTTTTTCAAAGAATTATAATGGGAGATGAAACCTGGCTTCACCAGTACAATCCTGAAGACAAAGCACAATCAAAGCAATGGCAACTGAGAAGTGGAAGTGGTTCCATCAAAGCAAAAGCAGACCAGTCATGAACATAGTTCATGGCAACAGATTTTCTTTGTTTTGTTTTATAAGCTTAAGGTATTTTGCTTGTTGACTTTCTGGAGGGCCAAAAACAATATCATTTGCATATTTTGAAAGTGTTTTGAGAAAGCCAAAGCTTTTGCAGAAAAACACCTGGGAAAGCTTTACCTGAGACTCCTTTTCCACCATGACAATATTCCTGCTCGTTCTTCTCATCTAACAAGGGCAATTTTGTGAGTTTTAATGGGAAATCATTAGGCCTCCACCTCCAATCATTACCATCCTGATTTAGCTCCTTTCAGCTCCTTTTTGTTTCCTAATCTTAAAACATAAATCTGTAAAGTGTTCTCACTTTTCTTCAGTTAATAATGTAAAAAAGACTGTGCTGATATGATTCATTCCCAGGAGCCTCCACTGGTATTATTGCTTACAAAAGTGTTTTGAACTTGATGAAGCTTATGTTGAGAAATAAGTTTATATTTTTCCCTTTTATTTATTAATTCCATTTTCCACAAACTTTTCAAAATCCCCTCATACATTTTGAAATAATTTAACACCTTATTGGGAACCACTGGCTAATTTATATCAAGCTTCAGATTAATGTAATCAGGCCTGGCAGTTTTATGTTTGATAGAAACAACAGAACAACAGTTCCTTGTGTTTGCTGGTTGTTCTACCACCTTCCAACAACTTTCCAAAAAACTCTTCTCCAAAACTTTAGAAGGTAGCCATCTCTTCATCTTAGATAAATGTAAGTTAAAAAAGTCTAGTGCACTTTTGGAGGCTGAGGTGGGCAGATCTCTTGAGCTCAGGAGTTCAAGACCAGCCTGGGAAACATGGTGAAACCCTGTCTCTACAAAAATACAAAAATTAGCTGAGTGTGATGGCACATGTCTGTGGTCCCAGCTCCTCAGAAGCTTGGAGGATCACTTGAGCCTAGGATGGGAGGTGGGAGGATCACTTAAGGCTAGGATGCAGAGGCTGAGGTGGGAGGATCACTTGAGCCTAGGATACAGAGGCTGCAGTGAGCTGAAACTGCACCACCGCACTCCAGCCTGTGTGACAGAATAAACAAAACAAAACAAAATTCTAGAGATTTGCCCCAAGTCAAACACAATTAAACAGCTAGGTAAAATGGATCTCTTATCTAGTTGTGAGTTTTTATTATGACAACCAGTGGGAAGTTTAGCCTTCTAAGATTTTGGTATGGAGTGGATCCTTTCACATCACAATGTGCCATTTTCTTGGCTGAATTCAGCAAAGGATGGCATGGCAGTGGCTGTGGCTCTCTGCAGCCTCCTGCCTTGGCTCTGCCACAGGCATCCATGGGCAGCAATTGTTTCTCCCTTGCCTGTATTTCACAGGGCAGCCAGCTGGTCTTTGAGATGTGCACCCAGCACTTCTTGAAGTCTGTGTGATATATTAAGGAACTTTGTTCACTGTTGAAGGCAACCATCTGGTACAAAGTGCTGACACATTTGTTCTGATAGCGCACTGGGAAGAAACCTACTAGAGCTGCTGTGGGGGAGGTGAGGACAGGAGCAGCTAACAACCCTGAAGCCCCATGAGGACACATGGGAAGACTCTATGGGAGCTGAGAAAGACCAAAAACACTCCTGTGCAAGCACTCATGGTTGAGAGATCTGAAGTATCAGCAAAAGCACAAAGTGCTTCTCTCACCCAGGGAATGTGGGGAGATGTGGGACAGTCCTGGGGAAGCATACACAAGCATGTGCAAACTCAGCCCTCTCTTTTGGAATAAACAATTACCTTATAAAAAGACAGTATCAAATTCTATTATTAGAGACCCCCTCTTATCTTCTTTTGGAATATGCTAAGAACTAACCCGTTCTCCTGTTGTTAACAACACAATGATGCCACAGGTGAGAAGTTATATATTAGGGAGGTCCAGACAGGCTTTCGTGGAAATAACACCTAATCAGGCACAGAAAGGGGGTGTAGTAGACAGAATAGCCTCAACTACCCAAAAATGTCCACATCAGAATTTCTGGACTCTGAAAATATTATGCTGTATAGCAAAAGGAAATTAAAAATGCATATGGAATTAAATTTGCTAATCAGATATCATGAGATGGGGAGACCATCTGGATGATCTGGACAGTCCTGATGTAGTCACAAAGGTCCTTATGAGTGAAAGACAGGCAGAACAATAAGTTTCAGAATGGTGCAGCTTGAGAAAGACTCAAGCAGACATTGTGGGTGGCTTTGAGGATGGAAGGGGGCCATGAGCCAAGGAATGTTGACAGCCACTAGAGCTGGAAAAGGCAAGAGAATGAATGGACTCCTAGAGCCACTAGAAAGGCATGCAGCCCTGCTGAGACCCATTTGAACTTTGGACATGCAGAACTGTATAATGACATCTTTGTGTTGCTATAAGCCATAAGGATGTAGTAATTTTCTACAGCAGAAATAGGAAACTAATATAGGGTGGATTAGCTAGTGCCTTTTTACTTTATTTGTGTGATGGCAGACTTAGAGCAGCAGGTCGATAAATTTAGCAGCAGTGATTTAGTGATGAGAGAGAAAGATGTTTCATGGCTGCATGTCTTATGTTAAATTCTATCCTAATTTGAGCTCTCCCAATGTAGAGTTAATACGGACTAGAATCAAACAGTTTCTTTGGAAATAATTCCAGTGTTCTGCTGAGATGAAATTATGAACAGTGCCCAGGTACATTAATTTTGGCTATAGTATGAAGGATTTTGTGCCGCACATTGCATTTCACATTTGTCAAAGGTATAGTAATTTTGAGAAGGGAAGATTCAAAGAATAATGCCTTAAAGAGGCATATGAGATTAACTGAAGGGAACTGAGGCCAGCTAATGTCCTTTGCTTTACTTACTCATTTACCAAATGTGTTTGGAGCTGTGCTCAGTGTAGAGACAATAAAAAAATGGCCAAACTTAGTTTGTGTTCTCAAGAGGTTAATCGTCCATTGAATGAGACAATCCTATGGATGATTAAAAGATGACCCAGCAAATACTTCCCTGGAGGCATGGACAGGAGGTGGGGAAACAGGGCATGGTGTTGGAGTGTCCCTGGGGAAAATGACCAGCAATATTTCACTGTGTGATTATCTCGCCTGATTATTCTTATTGCATACGTGAGCACTCTATTCTTGCAACAAATGTCATATTGGACTGTTTTAATTATTTACTTGCCTGTCTTCCCTAGTTGTTTTTTATGTCCTTAAAGAAAGGGCTGTATATTCTCCCATTTGAATTCCTCATGAAAACCCTGAACAATGGAGAGAGAAATAGTTTCCTGAAAAGAAAACGGTATGTATTGTATTCCAGAGTAAGCATTGCAATGGGAATACAATGGGTATATTGAGGGAAGCAAAGGAAGGTGAGGGTTTAGAAAGGAGACATGAGGAGGATTACATAATTGTTTTTGGATAATTATCCTTGGGTGCAAGAATCGGTACCAAGGGGAGCACCAGTCTGAGGTTGGACAGGAGGTTGCTGGGCAGATGTCCTCGCAGACATATTATTTTGTGTAAGGTTGCAGTGACCTTTGTGCAAGCTTGTGGTTTTTGCAGAGGCTTTTGCAGAGTTCTTATTATCAGGCATACATGAATGAGAACCCTCCATCATGGCCTTTCCCGGCTCCATTCGTCAGGGTTTTAACACAAGTGACTTCGTGAGTCCAACAACTTTTACACTAGCAACTTGCTATGGTGTGAATGTTTGTGTCCCCTTCCCCCACATTCATGTGTTGATACCTAGCCCCAAAGGTGATAGCATTAAGAGGTAAGGACTTTGGAAGGTGATTAGGTCATAAAGGTAAAGGGCTTCCTGCAGTTAAAAAAATAAAATAAAAAAAGAAGGAAGATATTGGTACCAAGTAAAGATGCAACAAGAAGGCACTGTCTACGAGAAATAAGCCCTCATCAAACACAATATCTGCTGGTGCCTTGATGTTGGACTTCCAACATTCAGATCTGTGAGCAATAAATGTTTTCTCTTTATAAAATTCCTAGTCTGTAGTATCCTTTTATAGCAGCCTGTAAGCCTGTACAGACTGACACAACTACTTCAGGTTACTCATTTGCAGGCAGAGTAAATGAGTGAATGGTAGAGTGAGTGAATGAGAGGGTGAGTGAGTGAATCAGGTGACATTTGATCTGAAGGATCTTGAAGTACAAGTAAACAATCAGTGAGATGGGATATATATATATACCAGGTGCCAGGTACAGACTATATATATAGAGAGAGAGAGAGCAAGAGCAGGTAAAGCTAACAATATTGTTCCACTTGGATTTTGATTTCAAACACATCTTGAACACTTCACTATTCTTATATACAAATGCCACTTAAACCTGGGTGCAGTCAAACCTGAAGATCCCAGCAAGAACTGGTGCCCCTGGGGTGGCCCTGTAAGCAAACTGTCCTCTTTCTCCCGACGCATAGTCACAATGACTAACACAAATGACTCACAACTGTGGACCCCCATTTCAAGGCTCCAGGACAACATGGCATATGGAAAAGGGGCCCTTGCTTTGTCCCTGGACTCAGAAATGCCCTGCCTTTCTCTCTCTCTTGTTTCCCTTGGACAACTCACTGTTGTTACTTTTCCTCCATTCTTTCTTTTGTTCACATCAGCTCTGGCTAAAACTAAAGTCGCTCCACGGTCCAGAATCAAATACCTAAATTCAAGCATTTTCCTGTGTTTAAAGAGCTATGAGGACTAAAACAATCAGAACGAGGCTGATCATAACCCATTTCTACCACTTCTAGAATTCACATCTATTATGTGTTGTTTTGTATGTTTGTTTGTTCTCTCATCTTTCAAAGCTACATGAGTCATTTCCTCTCATTTTTCTTGTTCAAGAGAAAATTAGAAAAGAGAGGCTAAAATGTTCAAAGACAGGAGTGGGGTGTGTACTCCCCTCTTGCTGTATCGGAGCTTGTCACAGAAGAAAAGTTTGAAGTCCATAGTTTTTAAGGAATAAGTCATAACCAAGCCATGTGAGCTATTTTCCCACCAACAACTTAGAGTTGAAGAAGTTTTTGTTTAAATATTCATGTAGCAAAGTTATTTAAATTGTATTTTTGATGGTAACATACTGTGGGCACTAATGAGCTTTTTTGATGATAGGTAATAATAAGAAGTGTTTCAGATGGCTTAACATGGTAATTTCTGAAATTTTAATTATTAACTAATATTTATATGTGGTTCTTAAAAACATGATTTTTGCATTTTTTTTGGAGAAGAATAAATTCTATAGTTTGAGAATTTTATTAGGAAATTAAAATTGCTATTCTTTAGATTTGCATATATCCAAATGTACTAAAACTATCTCTTGGATTTTCTTGTTTATAATATTCCCAGTGGTTTACAGACTTGCAGAATCATCATTCCTAGAGTTATAAAAAGGCAATTTTCTGCCTCACTACTTATTTTCATATAAACAGTTGAGTACATTTAGGGGTTACATTGGAGCCTATTAATAGCAAAATAGACTTTTCTAGAAACAACATTAAAACATATTACGAAGTCCCAGCATTTACATCACATTGTATAGGTGCCTTTGGAGCCAAGTGGTAAGTGCAGGGGCATAGATTTGGAGCTAGTATTAATTTCTTAAATTTGTTATAAATATTATAGATGGCTATATATACATATATACAATTTAATCCAAATTTTATAGAATTTGTGTGTGTGTGTGTGTGTGTGTGTGTGTATATATATATATATATATATATATATATATATATTTTTTTTTTTTTTTTTTTTTTTTTTTTTTAGGCAGAGTCTCTCTCTGTCACCCAGGCTGGAGTGCAGTGGCAGGATCTCCGCTTATTGCAAGCTCCGCCGCCCAGGTTCACGGCCATTCCCCTGCCTCAGCCTCCTGAATATCTGGGACTACAGACGCCCGCCACCACGGCCGGCTAATTTTTTGTATTTTTAGTAGAGACGGGGTTTCACTGTGTTAGCCAGGATGGTCTAGATCTCCTGACCTCATGATCCACCCGCCCCGGCCTCCCAAAGTGCTGGGATTACAGGTGTGAGCCACCTCGCCCGGCCCAGAATTTGTATTTTTTAAAGGCAGTGTTAGGCTTCTGGGAGGGGAATGATGATATTAATAGCTCCATTTTACAGATGAAAATGCAGAGACTGGTTAAAACAAGTAAGCTACCTATTACAGAAGAGAATGCAAGTGTACGTCAGATTCTCAACCCTATGCCACATCACACACACACACAATCACACATTCAGCACAGACTGAATGGGAGAAGGAAAATCACATGTAACCCAGAAGATCTGAATATAGGTTCTAAATATCCAAAAGTAAATACAAAGGAATCTGGAAGAAACACTATAAATATCCCATAAAACTCAGATCATTCACTACATAAATTCTGATACACAGCATAATTGCATTTTTTGGACAATCATGTAAAAATTGTAAATTTTTCATTAAGATTGCAAATGACAAATCAAACTAATTCATGGAGAACGTTGCAGCTATTATGTTAATTTTTTCCATGGTACACTTCCTTTCTCTCTCGTTGTCTCTCTGTGTTTTCTCATGTGGGAATGGGAGGTTGAAGTCAATGACATACCTTTTTCAAAACTGAAGTTCTCTGATACTATGGTTTTAAAGCAGCTACAAAATTATGCTCTCTTACTTTTTCATTCAGACAAGTAAGAAAAAAACTAAGAAGTGGAAAACAAACATTAAGGAAACTCCTACATCCAACAGTCTTGAGAAAACTAACCATTTTTTCCTTCAAGACTTGAATCTGTCTTGATGTGACCTTTAGTTTCTTAAGAAATTTTCCCAGAGTCCCTCACGCATGAAGCTTAACAGCAAGTGGCAAGAGAAGATCAATAGTGGGAAGATCCTGAAGCAATGAGGCTGGGCATCCTGACACAGTCATGTCCACAAGATGATTGACAACATGACATTTGAGCTACTCCTGTGTGTCATCAGATGAAGGTGGGGGTCACCTCAGGAGCATGAGTTTAAAAAAATGGCATGTGACCTATGGAACCATGTCTTCAGACAGAGCTGCAGCAGCAGGCATGCATCAGTGTGCCAGGCAGCACTGTGAGAAGGAATGATTCATTTTCGTCCAGAAAGGCAGCCATCCAAGAGGCAGAACCCTAAATAACGACAGAACTCAAAGCCGAGGCTACCACTGTGCTCCAAACAATATGTGTCTGTTCTACTGAAATAGCTGCTGTGCACGCTGTCAGGAGTGACATTTGTGAAAGTACTCAGTGAAGGACAAATTCGTCGAGATGGCAGCTTCTGGGAGGTTGTCAATGCAGTGGACACTTAATGTCGCTGCAACAGATTTGATAACAAATAATTTGTTGATTAAGGACTTAAAGTCACTTTTCCAGTATCTTAGCTTCTGATGATCTATGGCAAGGTAAACAATTAAAATAAGGAAAATGAACTGCAGATAAAGATAAACAAAGTCCAAAGAGATGGGACCTTAAGCATTTCACTACTAAACTGGGCCTGTAGCATTAGATTGATGAGTAGCATCATGGAAATAATAACAAAGTAAGAGTGCTTTTCACACAAAACTACAGAAAATTGGTAACAATTCATTGGGTGCAAGAATTCAAACAGTGGGCCTCTTTGACACATCTTTACTACCACAGATAGCATTAGAAATATATCATGATACCATCACAGTCCTCTGAGAATGAGAGCTGTCATGAAAGAAACATATCTTCAGTATGATAACATACACACCAGCATTTTCACACTATTAGGAAATTCTACAAAAATCAGATTTATCCTTTTATGCCATATTTTAAGTACATGCCACATGGAGTGAGAGGACAGTGCTAGACATTGATGGTATAGACATAGAAAAGTTCTAATTCCTGTACCTGAAGCAAATCAGGCCAGACCACCAGATACTTTTCAGTCCTGTGGAGTAGACCTTCAAACACGCAATAATTAAAGCACATTATGGTAAGTACTATGATTTAACTTATAAATAATATGCTAAAAAAAACACAGAAGAGAAATGCCTTTTGCTGTTTGGGGAAAGAAGAATGTGAGGCGTATTAGTCGGGGTTCTCTAGAGGGACAGAACTAATAGGATAGATGTATATATGAAGGGGAATTTATTAAGGAGAATTGACTCATGCGATCATAAGGTGAAATTCCACAATAGGCCATCTGCAAGCTGAGGAGCAAGGAAGCCAGTCTGAGTCCCAAAACCTCAAAAGTAGGGAAGCTGGCAGTGCAGCCTTCTGTCTGTGGCTGAAGGCCCAAGAGCCCAAGATGCCCTGGCAAATCACTGGTGTAAGTCCGAGAGTCCAGAAGCTGAAGAACTTGGAGTCTGATGTTCCAGGTCAGGAAGCATCCAGCACAGGAGAAAGATGAAGGCCAGAAGACTCAGCAAGTCTGCTCATTCCACTTTCTTCTGTCTGCTTTTTCTAACCATGCTGGCAGCCAAGGGGATGGTGCCCACCCAGATTAATGGTGGGTCTGCCTCTCTCAGTCCACTGACTCAAATGTTAATCTCTTTTGACAGCACCCTCACAGACATACCCAGGAACAATACTTTGCATACTTTCAGCCGAATCAAGTTAACACTCAATATTAACCATCACAGGAGGCTTTCTGCAGAATAAAATGTAAAAGATGAGTCTTGACTATCCACAAAGAGTTGGCTATTTGCAAGAAGTTGAGAGGAATTTGTTGAGAAGAATTCCTGGAAGAGAGAGTAGCTTATTGGTTATTAAGTTAGTGTGAGAGGTCTAATGGGTTTCAGGTACCACTTTTGAAATATTTTAGTCTCAGGACACTTTCTGGTTTTAAAAGTTACTTAGAACACCAAGCAATTTCTGTTTTTGAAGATTATACTTCTTAATAAATACTGTATTTGAAATTCAAACATAAATGTAAAATATATATTTATTAATATATTTTAAAATAGCAATAATAATTGTTGACATCAGGTTATTTTATGAAAAATGACTATTTTTATTAAAAGAAAGTAGCAGTTAGAGAAGTGGCATTGTTTTCCATTTGAAATCTATTAATATCTGTCATAATAGAAGACAGATGGATTCTCATCTGCTTCTGCATTTCTTCCATTGAAATATGTAGTTTTAGTAGAAATTTATAAGGAAAATTTGGTCTCACACAGATATGTATCTGAAAGAGGGAGAAGTATATGTAGCTTGCCTAGAAAATTGTGACTATTCTTCTTTAATATTACACCAAAACTCAGCAAATCATAGTTTCTCAAAGTTGAATTGCAATGTAAAATATATAGCAATTTCAACAAGCTTCTCATTTATTGTTCTTATTTTGGTCTATCTTGTAAATTTCAATGGATCTTTACCTATGCATGATTTTGATCATTTGGAAAATACTGGTTTAGTTAGGTCTACAGATCTTTAAAACATGGTATATTTTATTGTAGAATATTTTTTTAAAATCACATTTGTTAAATATCACCACAGGTCTTATCAAATCTCTGAAATATTAAGAAGTATTTAAGCTGAGGTGGATTGATAGTTCTTTTCCAAAATACTAAATTAAACTTGAAGGCTCAATTTTTATCATTGGCAGTAAATACTATCAGTTGTTTTCCTTTGATAAGAACTTTCATACGAATTAAACAAAATGCCAGTTAAATAGTCAAATATTAATACCTGCAATAAGCGACTGGGTCATTCGGTTAAGTATTCATGAAAAAGCAGGCAGTTCAATTTGCCTCTCAAACTGTTCTGTAAGTGCTTTACCTTGCGACAAATGCTTTAGGCATACTTCTCATTTCATTTTTCAGTATTACAAGATGGGATGCAAGGATTGAGATTTAATAAATTGATACATTTTGACTCTTTATCAAAGACATTTAGCATTTTCTTGAATCATGGGTTGTGGCCATGGAGAATTCATTGAGTTTCGTTTGGTGTTACCAACTTGATTCTTGCTTCTAAGGGATGGGCAAATTCACTGCGACTGCTTCCAAGGGCAAGTGGCAACATAGTGTTAATAAAAAGGTGATGACTTATCATTACTATAAAATTAGTCTTGATGCACATCACCCTTGTGCATAGGTGGAGTTTCTATGGGCAGCCCCCATGGTTCCATAGTTGAGTCCTTAGGATCTGTGAACATGCTGAGATTTCACTTCCTGGATTGTGTTATGCGGACAGTAAAATAGAAGATGGCCTGGATGTGCCCAATCTCATTACAGGAGCTGTGGACGGGAGAGGAGAGCAGATCTCAGAAAGTTTGAAACATGAGAACTTCACCCACTGTTGCTGGCTTTGGAGATGGAGGAGGTCATAGCCAAGGAAGGCAGGCAGCAACTAGAAGATGCTAGAACTAACTAGAAGTGGAAAACAACCCTGGATCAACACCCAGCATGGGAACAGGACTGTAGTCCTATGACTGTGTGAAGCCAATTCTGCAAACAACATGAATGAGGCTACACATGGCTTTCCCCTGGAATATCCAGTAGGCAGACCTGCCAACACATTGATGGTGGCCTTGGGAGACCCAGGACAGGGACTGTTCACATTTTACCTGGACTCCTGACCCATGGACACTGTTAGACCATAAATGTGTGCTGTGTTAAGCCAAAAAGTTTGCAGTAACTTGTTTGACATGAATCGAAAATTTAGAAATAGAAATAAATACACCATAAAAGGGTCTCTGGGACTCTCAAGGGCCCATAGCCTTTACTTTGAGAACTGCTGGCTTAAGACATCATTTGGTAGACAAGTAGGGGAGGACTCATCTGGGATCTGTGCTACCCCTACATTTTATAATTTCTTACATTCTATTTTGGCACAAATATCTTTTGTATGCTGAATTCAGGCTTTTCTATGTCAACTGAATCAAGTTTCAGCATTGTGAGATGAAAACTTGGGCACTCATGGCTACATTTGACCTACAGATGACAGTGTGGCCCACATACACTGGACCAAATCATTTTTTAAATTAGGTGACAACATTTAAACGTCAAGAAATATAAATGGTGACTGGAGGCAGTGGCTCACGCCTGTTATCCCTGCACTTTGGGAAGCCAAGGCAGGAGGATTGCTTGAGCCCAGGAGTTTGGGAGCAGCCTGGTCAATGCAGGGAAACCTTTCTCTAAAAAAAAAAAATTAGCTGGGCATGGTGGTGTGTGCCCGTGGTCCAAGCTGCTTGGTGGGCTGAGATGGGAAGATTGTTTGAGCCTGGGAAGTTGAGGCTGCAATGAGCTGTGATCACTCCACCACACTCCAGCCTGGGTTACAGAGCAAGACCTCATTCAAAAAAAAAAAAAAAAAAAGGAAATATAAATATAAAATATAAATGTTACATATACACAATAAAAACTATTCACCATAAAAATAAATGAAATCCTGTCTGTTGCAGCAACATGGATGGAACTGGAGGCCATTATCTGAAGTGAAACAAGTCAAATACAGAAAGACAAATATTGCATGTTCTCACTCCTAAATTGGAGCTAAAAAATGTGTACACATGGACACAGAGAGTTGAATCATAGACAATGGAGACTCAGAAAAGTGAGAGAGTGAGAGGGGTTGGATGATGAGAAATTACTTTAATAGTTAGTTATTACACCAAACACCCTGATTTACACATTACACAATCTACGCATGGAACAAAATTGCACTTGTACCCAATAAGTTTATACAAATAAAAAAAATCCAGACTGCTTTAAAATCCAGGCTTCTCTAAAAACTCACAATGTACACCAAGGTGAGCCCTGATTCTGTTAGGACGACATTCAGTTGAAGCCCACCTATTCTTCCAAGAATGTGCCTTCCAACGAATCCGAGGCTCCACAGCTGCTCAGGTGCTCCGCGTTCTTCTTCTCTTTCACCTGCGGCATCTTTCACATCACCTTCCTGATGCCTGTATCCAGTAGCTCCCAGTTAGCCTGGGAGATGGACTGAGTCAGGGGCCAGGTGATTTCATTTCCCATCTATATCCCTGGGGCTATATTTCTCCTTGGCTATAGCTACAGACTGTTTGCTAGAAGGCGGGACTCCCGCTTCACTTAGTGAAGCTTGATTTGCCCAGAGGAGGGGCAAGAGAAACAGAAAGAGAAGCAGCCCAGATGAGAGAAAAGGTGCTTTAACTTTGATTGCTGCAGATTTTCTTGGCGTTTAAGTGCTGATGAAGCAGGTATGATTTGGGAAAGATGCTTGCAAGGTTCCTAACTGGAAATTTTTAAGTTTGTTTTTTTAACTTTTTTTTTTTTTGCTGATTGTTAGATCCCGGGGTCCAGGTCCAGCCCATGCTGTGGTCTGAAGGGAGTGGGTGGATGGGCAGAAAGAACACTGGGGAAGGGAGAGGGAGGTCGTCTGCAGGTGAATATGGTTTTATTCAGCGTCAGCTCTCATCAACAGCTTTCTCACACTAGCTCTTTACACTGTGTACCCTGTCTTGGCTCCTTGAGACAGCGGCTCCTACACACGGCTGCGCGGCCAGCTCTCCTCTGCCTTCAGGGTCAGCAGCTTAACTCTTTCTCTCTCTGGGCATGAGTGCAAGCCGTGCTGTGCTGTGTCATGCTGACCCATGCCCTGGCTCCCCTCTGTCCATCTGCAAGACAGACAGCTCTGGTTCTCTCTCTTTCTCTGGGTGCCAGTGTGCCTGCCACGTCAAGCCACACTGAACTGAGCCAAGCCCTGTGCACAGCATCAGCAGGGCAATTATACCTTCTACAGACAATAGTGGCTCCAAGCCAAGCACAAACTTACACAAAGAGGTTATATAACAAGTGGAGGTGTGCTCCTCCCTGCCAAACTCTCTGAGTCATGTGGGCCCGGATATTCACCTCGGCCTATTCCTTGACCAGAGCACATCCGAGTAACTTACAGTGATAGAAGCCCCTTTTCAATGTGCATATCTATTGTGAGACTTTGGGACATTTCTAAGCACGAGGAATGTGATAACTGTGAGGGGCTCTTAGCTGCCCTTGTATCTGAGTGTCACTCACAAACACAGCGAACTTAGAGCTGTTTTAACTTTCACCAGGCACACTACTTTTTTTTTTTTTTGAGACAGTCTCACTCTGTCGCCCAGACTGCAGTGCAGTGGCGCGATCTCGGCTCACTGAAACCTACTCCTCACACCATTCTCCTGCCTCAGCCTCCCAAGTAGCTGGGACTACAGGCGCCTGCCACCATGCCCAGCTAATTTTTTGTATTTTTAGTTGAGACGGGGTTTCACCATGTTAGCCAGGATGGTCTCGATCTCCTGACCTAGTGATCCGCCCACCTCGGCCTCCCAAAGTGCTGGGATTACAGGCGTGAGCCACCGCGCTCGGCCGATATAAAGTCATTTTCAAATAGACTTGTCAAACCAGGTAATTTTTTAAAGTTTTTTGGATTGCATTATAAACAGAAAAGCACACAAATCATAACTAAACAGTTCAATGATTATCCCTAAATCAACACACTCATGAACCACAATTCAGTTCCTTGCAATTTTTACCGAATGGGGTGTCTGATGTGGTAGCCATCCTTAAAATCTTTTCTTCTGAATATACTCTCACTGATTTGAGTCTGTGGTTATAATTATATCCATCATGTTGGAAAAAAAAAAAGGATCTGCAGTAGATCAGAAAACAATTACTCTTTTTCTGTTCCCGCTGAGCTTTCAAACCCACTCCGTGGGACAAGTTTTTCTCCTGCGTGTGAACGAAGTGGAGCACAGAGGCAAACATTTTCAGTTCACTCTTTAGTGATAGACAATTTTCCAGTCATTTCTATCTGTCCATGAATAGCCTCAGTTCCATCATTAGAATGTTTAATTCAGGTGAAGAAAGAAAACATCTAAAATTCATTGGAGATGAACTCTATTGGTTTAAGCTTGCTAGAAGACAGGGATCCTGTTGTTAGGGAAGGGATTTTGTGGTCTAATATTCCCCACCCTATTTAAGAACTTTGTTTTCTGATTCCTGTAAAGTTACGGGTGTAGAACAGAAAAAAGTAGAGAATGGGCTGGAAACGGATCCTGTCCTAAAACCTTCCTGGACATGATTGTCACCTGAAGGTGCCTCTGTCTAGGTTTGACACGTAATCTACTGACTCATTCTCTTTGCTCATTTGTGAGTCTTGCAGGAACCCTGCAGCCCACAGCTGAGGAGCTTTTGCCTTCAGCATTCTTGACCCAGCCATGTGTGCCTTAGTCTTTTGTGGTCCATGCGTCAGTTGAGGTCATCTTTCCATTCCAAATATTTTACCCAGAGAAGATCCAGGGAAAATCCAAGTTCTCTCTCACATCCACTACCTCATGACACTGTCAGATAGATAAGATTCCAGGGAATGCAATATTGACCTCTGCAAAGGGGTCCTGGCAACCTCTGTTCATAAATGTTTACAGGAGGCACTCCTTGCTGAGGGGCACTGCAGAGGAAACAGAGGGGACGTTTTCTTTAAGTAAATGATCCTTCTGATCACTTATTCCTACCCTCATGTATCTTTAACGTAGTGAGGACTAAGAATGTACAAAACAGGTTTCTGGGACCCCTTTGGAAGTCCAACCTGGTGAATATCATACCTAATTTTGGAATATGGACACAGTAGGTGCCTATTAACATGCAGTTTCACTGGAGATGAGTCAGAAAAGCATCCTATTATTGTTTTGTGATACAGTCTATGAAAATCTTCTTGAAATCTTGCTGTCCATGTAAATGTGCTGTCCTCTTCAGCTTGGTTTTGATGCAGGAGAGGTCCTGCTCCTTGTGAAGTGGGGCTACCCCACAGGTAGTGTGCCCAGAGCAGCAGCTCGAAGGCAGTTCTGCAGTCATATTTACATCCACTTTTAATCACATGCAAATTAAAGGGCAGATTATGCAGAAATCTATAGAAAAGGGTAGCAACTTCTGGTCATCAAGTCATTGCCATGAAAAGAGGTGGTAAAATCTGGATGTTGCCATGGCCATGGTAAACTGACATGGCACACGAATGGGAGTGTCTTGTGGAAAGCTGCTTTTGCTGTGTCCCTGTTTTAGCTAGTCCTCAATTTGGTTTGATGTCTGAGCCCCACCTCTGGAGTCAAGACCTACCTCCTGTGCCGAGTCCTGCCTTCTACCTCAGTTTCACCCATAGATTTGTGTGCATATCTCTGATGTCGTTAGCACTTTAATTAGCAGTTGTCAGAAACCGGCATGATCAGGGATAAAGTGCACATAGTAGGTAAAGATGACTGCTTCTGAGTTGGCGTAATGTGATCTATCAACACTGCTCATGTATGAGCGAAACTGCAGTGCTATCTAACCTCACTATTCCATTGACATCTATGTTATATTCAAAATTATGTATTGTGATTTTTTCCAAATATTTTGTATAAATCCACAGAAATTAATTGTATTTCTTTAAAGAAGTTAATTCAAAAGAACATACAAGAAACACAACAAAAAATCGGCAGTAAAAGGAAAACTATTTTAAACTTGAGATTTCTTCACATGAGCTTCTGAGATGCTAGAAATTGATAAACTAAGTTTGAAGATCATTAGAAAATTATCAGTTTGAGTAAAAGGGAAATTAAAAACTGGGGAGAATATTTATGACATGAGAGGAAAATGATTAATGCTTTTATAATTTGAAAATCTTCATGAAATCAGTGAGCAAAAGACAATGACTGCATTAAAACTGAACAAATATATAAAGAGCAATTCATAAATTACCACGATAAAGTCCAAAATTGTTAATAACCTAAGCAATGCAAATATAAAAAATTAGAAGCCATTTTTCATCTTTCAAACTGGCATTGGTAAACAGTAATACACAGTGTTGGCAAAGATTCAAGATAGTCCTCATGCAAAGCTGATAGAAGAGAAAAAAGGGTTGTAGATCTCAATATGGAAAAGTAAATAAAAATACTTAAAATATGCATACCCTTTGACCCATTAATCTCATATCTAGAAATTTAAATCAAGGGCATATTAAGGGATAGGTACCAAGATTAGCTACAAGAATGTAGAGCATTGTGTCAGTAGTGAAAACTTTGGAAACAAAATCAAACATAAAACACTGGATCAGTGGTTGAATAAATTTGTATTTCTTCATAGTGATATACCTTCTAACCACTAAGTTACATAGAGCAAATTAAATGAAAAATAACTGTTCTTTCAGAATTTATATTTACTCAACCTCTGCTTTGTGTGTGGAACTCTTCTAGCTACTGAGGATAAAGTAGTGAGCAAGACAGTTAAAATTCTCTATTCTCACAGAGCTTACCTACTAGTGAGTGCAAGATAATTTCCTATAAGTGCTTTAATAAAAATAACACAGATGAATGCAATAGAATAAACCAGATTATGAAACAGTATATATAGCATGAACCCATTTTTATTTTTTAATTTTTGTGGGTACATAGTAGGTATATGTATGTATGGGGTACAGGAGAAGTTTTGATAGAGGCATGCAATGTGTAACCATCACATCATGGAAGGTGGAGTATCCATCCCTTCCAGCATTTATCATTTGTGTTACAAACAATCCAATTACACTCTTTTAGTTATTTTAAAAATGTGCAATTAAATTATTATTAACTCTAGTCACCCTTTGTGCTGTCAAATACTAAGCATTATTCATTCATTCATTCTTTTTTTTTTTTTTTTTTTTTTGAGATGGAGTCTCGCTCTGTCATTCAGGCTGGAGAGCGGTGGCGCAATTTCGGCTCACTGAAACCTCTACCTCCCCGGTTCAAGCAATTCTCTCGCCTCAGCTTCCCTAGTAGCTGGGATTGCAGGAGTGCGCCACTATGCCCAGATAATTTTTGTATTTTTAGTAGAGACAGGGTTTCACTATGTTGGCCAGGCTGGTCTCGAACTCCTGACCTCAGGTGATCCACCTGCCTTGGCCTCCCAAAGTGCTGGGATTACAGGCGTGAGCCACCGCGCCCAGCTCATTCTATTTTTTCGTACACTTTACATAGCCTCAACTCCCTCTCACCCCCCACTACTACTCTTCCCAGCCTCTCGTAACCATCCTTCTACTCTCCATCTCTGTGGGTTTAATTGTTTTAATGGTTAAATCCCACAAATAAATGTGAACAATCAATGTTTGTTTTTCTGTGCCTGGCTTATTTCACTTAACATAAAGACCACCAGTCCTCCAGTTCCATCAATGTTGTTGCAAATGACTGAATCTTTTTTTTTCATGGCTGAATAGTACTTCATTGTGTATACAGACCACCTTTTCTTTATCCATTCATCTGTTGATGGACACTTAGGTTGGTTTCAAATCTTGGCTATTGTGAACAGAGCTGTAACAAACATAGTAGTGGCAGTTATCTCTTCAATATATTGAATTCCTTTCTTTTGGGTATATACCCAGCAGTGGGATTGTTAGATCATACGGTAGATCTCTTTTTAGATTTTTGGGGAACCTCCAAACTGTTATCCATAGTTGTTTTACTAATTTACATTCCACCAACAGTGTATGAGGGTTCCCTTTTCTTCACAGCCTCATCAGCATTTGTTATTGCCTGTCTTTTGGATACAAGCCATTTTAACTGCGGTGAGATGATATTTCACTGTAGTTTTGATTTGCATTTGTGTGATGATCAATGATATTGTGCATGTTTTCATATGCCTACTAGCCTCATAGAATGAGTTTGGAAGTATTCTTTCCCCCTCCATTTTTTGAAACAGTTTGAGTAGTATTGCTATTATTTCTTTAACTGTTTAGTAGAATTCAGCAGTCAAGCCATTGGGTCCCAGGCTTTTCTTTACTGGGAACATTTTTATTTCAGCTTCAATTTCTTCACTTGTTAGTCTGTTCAGGCTTTGGATTTCTTCCTGGTTCAATCTCGGTAAGTCGTATGTGTCTAGGAATTTATCCATTTGTTCTAGATTTTCCAATATACTAGCATATAGTTGCTCACAGTAGCCACTATCTTTTGAATATCTGCAGTATCAGTTGCAATGTCTTCTTTTTCATCTCTGATGTTATGTATTTGAATCTTCTCTCTTTTTATCTTAGTCTAGCTAAAGGCTTGTCAATTTTGTTTAACTTTTCAAAAAAACCAACTTTTTGTTTCATTGATCTTTTGTATTATTTTCCTTATTTCATTTATTTCTGCTTTGTTCTTTATGATTTCATTTTTCTACTAATTTTGGGTTTGGTTTGCTTTTGCTTTTGCTTTTCCAGTTCTTGAAGATGTATTGTGAGGCTGTTTATTTAGAGTTTTCCTTCGTTTTTGATGTAGGCACTTATAGCTTTGAACTTTCCCCTTATATTGTTTTTATTGTATCCCATAGGTTTTGGTCTATGTTTCCATTATTATTTGTTTCAAAAATCTTTTCAATGTCCTTCTTAATTTATTCATTGATCCAATGGTGATTTAGGAGCATATTATGTAATTTCCATGTAATTGTGTACTTTTCAAAATTCTTCTTGGTATTAATTTCTAGTTTTATTCCATTGTCATTAAAGAAGATGCTTGATATTATTTCAATTTTTAAAAATATTTTAAGACTTGTTTTGTGACCTAACATATGATCTATTCTTGAGAAAGAACCATGTGCTGAGAAAAAGTATGTGTATTCTGCAGCCATTGAGTGAAATGTTCTGTAAATATCTATTAGACTCATGTGGTTTACAGTACAGATTAAGTCTGATGTTTCTTTGTTGATTTTCAGTCTAGAAGATCGGTGCAGTGCTAAAAGCAGGGTGTTGAAATGTGCAACTATTATTGTATTGGGATCTATCTCTCTCTTTAGCTCTAATAATATTTGCTTTATATATCTGGGTGCTCCAGTGATGGGTGCATATATTTACAATTATTGTATTCTCCAGCTGAATTGACCCCTTTATCATTGTATAGGACCTTCTTTGTCTCTTCTTATATTAATAAATGTCTTGAAATCTACTTTGTCTGATGTTAGTAAAACTCCTGGTCTTTTTTTGGTTTCCATTGGCATGGAATATCTTTTTCCATCTCTTTATTTTCAGTCTATGTGTGTCTTTATAGGTGGAGTGTTTCTTATAGGCAACAGATCAGTGGGTCTCTCTCTCTCTCTCTTTTTTTAAAATTCATTCAGCCACTCTATGTCTTTTGATTGGAGATGTTAGTCTATTTACATTCAGTGTTATTATTCATAAATAAGGACATGCTCCTTCCATTTTGTTATTTGTTTTTGGTTGCTCTGTGGTCTTCGCTTCCTTTCCTTTCCTTCCTGTCCTCCATTAGTGAAGGTGATTTTTCTCTGGTGATGTGATTTAATTTCTTGCTTTTTATTTTTTGTGTATCCATTGCATGTTTTTTGTTTTGAGGTTACCCGTGAGGCTTGCAAATACTGTCTTATAACCCATTATTTTAAGCTGATAATAACTTAGCACTGTTTGCCTAAACAAACTAACAAGCAAAAAGAAAACTAGTAAAGACTCATCACTTTAACTTCGTTACTCTTCTTTTTAACATTTTTTGTCACTATATCTTACTGTACTGTCTATGTCTTGAAAAGCGTTGTAGTTATTATTTTTGATTGGTTCATGGTTTAGTCTTTCTACTTAGGATAAGAGTAGTTTACACACTACAGTTACAGTGTTATAATGTTCTGTGCTTTTCTGTTTACTATTAGCAGTGAGTTTTATACCTTCAGGTGATTACTTATTGCTCATTAATATCCTTTTCTTTCTGATTGAAGCACTCCTTTTAGCATTTCTTGAGGTATGAAAGCCCTTAGCTTTTCTTTATCAGGGAAAGTATTTATTTCTCCTTCATGTTAAAGGATAATTTCACCAGATATACTATCCTAGAGTAAAGTGTGTGTGGTTTTTTTCCTTCAGCACTTTAATTATGTCATGCCACTCTCTCCTGGACTGTAAGGTTTCCACTGAAAATTCTGCTGCTGCCAGATGCGTTGGAGCTCCATTGTATTTTATTTGTTTCATTTCTTTTGCTGCATTTAGGAACCTTTCTTTCTCCTTGATCTATGGGAGTTTGATTATTAAATACCTTGAGGTTAAATCTGCTTGGTGTTCTATAACCTTCTTGTACTTGGATATTAATATTATTCTCTAGGTTTGGGAAGTTCTCTGTTACTATCCCTTTGAATAAACTTTCTACCCTTATCTCTTTATCTCTTCTTTAGGGCCAATACCTCTTAGATTTGCCCTTTTAAGGCTACTCTCTGTATCCTGTAGGCATGCTTTATTGTTTTTTATTCTTTTTTCTTCAGTCTCCTCTGACTGTGTATTTTCAAATAGCCTGTCTTCAAGCTCACTAATTCTTTCTTCTGCTTGATTAATTCTGTGATTAAAAGACTCTGATGCATTCTTCAGTTGTATTTTTCAACTCCATAATTTCTCCTGTATTTTAAATTATTGCAATCTCTTTGTTAAATGTATCTGATAGAATTCTGTATTCCTTCTCTGTGTTATCTTGAACTTCATTGAGTTTCCTCAACACAGCTGTTTTGAATTATCTGTCTGAAAGGAAACATATCTCTGTTTCCCCAGGATTGGTACCTGGTGACTTATTTAGTTTATGTGGTGTGGTTATGTTTCCCTGGATGGTGTTGATGCTAGTAGATATTCTTCAGTGTCTGGGCATTGAAGAAGTAGGGATTTCTTTTAGTCTTTGCAGTCTGGGCTTACTTGCCCTTCTTGGGAAAACTTTCCAGAAATTCTAAAGGACTTGGCTATTGTGATCTAAGCTGTATCTGCTTTAGGGGGAAACCCAAATCCAGAAGTGCTGTGGTTCCAGCAGACTTGTAGAGGTACTTCCTTGATGGTCTTGGACAAGATCCAAAATAATTTTCTGGATTACCAGACAGACTTTTGTTCTCCTCCCTTACTTTCTCCCAAGCAAGCAGAGTCTCTCTTTATTCTGAGCTACCTGGACCTAGGGGTGGAGTGACATAAGCACCTGTGTGGCCATCACCCCTAAGACTGAGTTGAGTCAGACCTGAAACCAGCACAGCACTGGGTCTTGCCCAAAGCCTGCTCTAATGACTCCCTAACTACTGCCTATGGTTGCTCAAAACCCTGGCACTCTAAAATCAGCAGATGACAATTCTAGTCAGGCCTATGTCCTTCCCTTTGGGACAGAAAGTTACCCCAGGCCCTAGGGGCATACAGAGGTGCCAACCAGGAGCCAGGAGCTAGAGCCAAATACCTTTGAAGTCTATCTGGTGTTCTGCTGTACTGCAGCTGAGCTGGCAGTCAAACCACAAGGCACAATCCTTCCCACTCGTTCCTCCCCTTGCCAAAGGCAGAAGAGCCTCAGCCCATGGCGACCACCACCTCAGGCCCATTAGTAGTACAGCCAAACGGCCGGACGTGGTGGCTCAGCCTGTAATCCCAGCACTTTGGGAGGTCGAGGCGGGTGGATCACGAGGTGAGGAGATCGAGACAATCCTGGCTAACACGGTGAAACCCCGTCTCTACTAAAAATGCAAAAAAATTAGCCAGGCATGGTGGCGGGCACCTGTAATCCCAGCTACTCGGGAGGCTGAGGCAGGAGAATCTCTTGAACCTGGGAAGCAGAGGTTGCAGTGAGCCGAGATCGTGCCACTGCACTCCAGCCTGGGTGACAGAGCGAGACTGCATCTCAAAAAAAAAAAAAAAGAAGTATAGCCAAACCACCGTTGACATTCCCTTTAGGCCCATAGGTTCCTCAGTTAGCTCGTGTTGAATGCTGCCTGGCCTGGGGCTCACCCTGGCTCCTCTCTAAGACAGAGTGTGTCCAGAAATGCCATCCAAGAGCCAAGTTCTGGAACTGGGGACCTTAAAAGCCTGTTTGCTGCCCTACCCCGCTGTGGCCAAGATGGTACTTAAGGTACAAGACAAAGTCCCCTTTACTTTTTCCTCTGCTTTTCTTAAGTAGAAGGAGTCTTACTCTATAACCACCTTAGTTGGGAATGTCCTCAGTTTCACCTGAGGTCAGCAAGTTTCAGCATCTCACCTAAGGCCCTCAACATAATACTTGGGTGTCACTGCTGGTTATTCATGGCCCAAGGACTCCTCAGTTAGCAGGTGATGGATCCTTCCTGAGGGGAGTTCTTTCCTTCAAGACAGTGAATTCCTTCCTTTGGTTCTCTTCTGGCCCAGGGTATGTCTACAAATATTTGGGAGCTAGGGCCTAGAACAGGGGCCTCACAATTCTGACTGGTGCTTTATCATGCTGTGGCTCAGCTGGTACCCGAGATGCAAGACAAACTCATACCCACTCTTTGACATCCTCTCCTCAAGAAGGAAAGAAGGGTCTGTTTTGGAGCTGTGAATTGTGCAGCCTGGGGTTAGGGGAGGAGAGATGCCAGCACTCTCTTAGCCACCCCAGTTGGTATCTCAGTAGGTCATGTACTCTCCCGGTCCATTGTCTCAGCCCAGTTCAGCCCTAGGACTTGCTTTAGGTGTTGCAGTCCTTGTGGTCTAGACTGCCTTTCAAGTTTATTTGAGGCCCCATTGCATCTTAGCCCATGGTGGTGAGGCTTATAGATTTTTGCATCATCATTCTCTCATTAATTTTTTTCATGGAAATCCCTCCTGGCATGCTATTCCCAATGAATTAGTCTCTCTTTCTCTCTTCACTTATGTACTATATATATAGTACTTCATATATATATATGTATATAGATTATATTTGTATACATATTCATTTTGTTTATTCTTTTTCTAATTCAAATAATTTTGCAAGAAACCTCTTTATGTTCTAGTACTTTAATTTCTATAGGTTAAATTGAAGAGTGAAGTTTTATTGTTAAAATATATGTGTATATATATTATTCTTTATAATTTGATAGATGTTGTCAGATTATTTTCTAAACAAAAGTAGTATCGTTTCTCACTTTCATCAGAAATGTTTGAAAGTATTCTTTACCACACATACCCTATTGGAAATAGTTTTTGTAGCTTATATATTTTCAGACTGACTGATACGAAGTTATATATTATTGTATATTTATTTACATTTGTCTGAATACTAGTGAATTTGATCTTTTCATATGTTTCATGGCCTTTCAATTTGCACTTCTATTGATCATTATGTTTCAGTTGCTCTTGCATTATTTGTTTCCTTCTTGTAAATCTGTAGTTGTCATTTTATATTATAACTAGTAACACATTATCATCTTCATAATAAATTTTTCCAGCTCACATGTTTTTCTACTGGCATTTTTCACAGTAACTTTTGCTATATAAAAGTTTAAATTTTTCTGTAATTCAATATGCCAATTTTCCTTTTAAAAATGCCTGGGCTTCAAGCCTTGGTTAAAAAGAGAATCGCTCCGACCCTTATTTTTAGTCCCCTAGGTTTTCTGTAAGCATTAACTTTTCTGTTGGCATTTACTTTTTTAACATTCAGCACCTTTAATTTATCTAAAATGTGCTTTAGAATATGGTTTAAGATATGTGTGAATGTAGAATCCCTGTATGTGTCTTCTGGACAGACAGCCAACTGTGGCAATACCATTCATTAAAGAATCTATTGATTTTTGATTGAATTATGCTAATGCCTGTGTGACATACTGACATCCACATGTGTTTCACTGATTGATTTCTCTAATTTCATGTTTCAGTAGCAGTCAACTAGCTTATCATGTTTTACAAACACCCCAAAATGTCCTTGTTTTACACCAACAAATGTAGATTTGCTGCTCATTCTGCACATGTGATGCACCTATTTTGAGATCTGTGGTGAAGCAGTCTCTGTTTACATGCATCCTTCCACTATCACACAGCAAAGAGAAGGGACACATGGTGAAGCACTCACTTGTGTTTCTGCCTGGAGACACACTCAGTATCTATGCTCGTATTTCATTGACTAAAGCAATTCACATGGTCATATTACTTTAAGAAGAATGGGAAAATACCAGAAGAAGTAGAATAATTATTAAGAACCATAATGTTCCTCTTCCATACAAATACCCTACTGATTTGATTAGTATTTTTGATAATGTGAATCAGTCTGTTTTATCAATTCGAAAATTCCTTAGTCTTTTTCTCTTCAAATACTGCATCCACCACCTTTTCTATCTTTAGTCTCTTACTGGGGAAATAGACTATGTCTGACTTTCTAATTTTATCTCCATTGTTTTTTATTATTTTCCATTTCAGACTCTTTGCCCTCTATGCTACAAAGAGGACAAAATAAATTATTTTGTTGTATTTTTCTATCCAATAATTTCTTTTCCGGTTGTGTCTGTTTTAAAAAATATATATAAGATTTTACTTCATTTTTAGCGTTTTTCATTTGCAGAAGTTCTGGTTAGTGTTTTTGCAGGATTGCTAAGACATTTTTAATAAGTCCCTATTTTCTGAAATTCTTTCAAAGTTAATTTACATTTATTCAATCACAGTAAGATAATTGCTGGTATGGTTTGGCTCTGTGTCCCCACCCAAATCTCATCTCAAACTGTAATCATCATGTGTCAAAGTGGGAGGTGATTAGGTCATGGAAGTGGAGTTGTCCATATTGTTCTCATGATAGTGAGTGAATTCTCATGAGATCTGATGGTTTTACAAGTGTTTGGCAGTCCCCACATTGCCCTTTTTTTCTCCCGCCACTAGGTAAGACTTGCCTTGCTTCCCCTTTACCTTCCACCATGATTGTAAGTTTCCTGAGGCTCTCCAACCCATACGGAACAGTGAGTCAATTAAAACTCTTTTGTTTATAAATTACCCAGGCTCAGGCAGTATCTTCATAACAGTGTGAGAATGAACTAATATAGATAATTGGTACTGGGAGTGGGGTACTGCTATAAAAATGACCTGAAATTATGAAAGAAACTTTGGAACTGGGTAATGGGCAGAGGTTGGACCAGTTTGGAGGGCTCAGAAGACAGGAAGATGTGGGATAGTTCAGAATTTCATAGAGGCTTATTGAATGCTTTCAACCAAAATGCTGATAGTGACATAGATAATGAAGTACTGGATAAGGTGGTCTCAGATGGAGATGAGGAACTTATTGGGAACTGAAGCACAGGTCATGCTTGCTATGCTTAGGCAAAGAGACTAGCAGCATTTTGTCCCTGTCCTAGAGATCTATGGAACTTTGAATTTGAGAGACATGGATTTAGGATATCTGCCAGAAGAAATTTCTAAGCAGCAAAGCACTAATTTTGAACACATTCAGGTTTATGCATCATTTACAGAGATGATTTGAAATTGGAACACATTTTTAAAAGGGAAACAGAGCATAAAGGTTTGGAAACATTTGCAGCCTAACCATGTGGAAAAAAGAAAAAAAGAAGACATTTTCTGGGAGGAATTCAAGCCCAAAGAACTTTGCATAAATAACAAGGAGTCAGATGTTAATAATTAAGACAATGGGTCAAATGTCTCCAGGGCATGTCAGAGTCCTTAGTGGCAGCCCCTTCCATCACGGGCCTGGAGGCCTAGGAGAGAAAAATGGTTTTGTGGGCTGGGCCAAGGGCCCTACTGCTCTGTGCACCTTCATGACATGGTGACCTGCGTCCCAGCTGCTCCAGCTCCATCTGTGACTAAAAGGGGCTGTGATGGTTAATATTAACTGTCAACTTGATTGGATTGAGGGATGCAAAGTATTGTTCCTCAGTGTGTCTGTGAGGGTGTTGCCAAAGGAGATTAACATTTGAGTCAGTGGACTGGGAGAGGCAGACCCACCCTCAATGTAGATGGGCATCATCCAATCAGCTGCCAGCATAACTAGAATAAAGCAGGCAGAAGAAGGTGAGAGAAGTCAACTTCTTGGGATTTCTGGCTTTCATTTATCTCCTGTGCTAGATACTTCCTGCCTTGAACATCAGACTCCAAGTTCTTCAGCTTTTGGACTCTTGGACTTAAACCAATGGTTTGCCAGGGGCTCTTGGGCCTTTGGCCACAGACTGAAGGCTGCACTGTCAGTTTCCCTACTTTTGAGGTTTTGAGACTTGGACTGGCCTCCTTGCTCCTCAGCTTGCTGACAGCCTATTGTGGGACTTCACCTTGTGATCCTGTGAGTCAATTCTCTTTCATAAGCTCCCTTTCACATATACATCTATCCTATTAGTTCTATCCCTCTAGAGGACACTAATACAGATTTTGGCACTGGGAGTGGTTCTAGAGGAACAGAATTTTAAGAGTGGATTTTTTTGTTGCTGGTTTTGGGATTTCTGAAGTTGGCTGCTTAATCTAATTAGACCCAAAATGCTAGGGTCTCTACTTTTAATAGTATGGAGAACACTGACAGTTCCTGACATGAACTGTTTAAAGAGTTATTCAAAATAAATGCATTTAAAACCTCTGATTTACCACTCTTGAGAGGCAAGAAGTTTAGTGACTGTATACATAGTACCTTCAACCGTATGTGGAGAACCAAGGAATATAATGAAATTGATTAGTTGCTCCTAAATTTGCTGAAGAAAATTATGAAAGAAAAGGACGAGCTCAGGGATTCTTACGCCCAGTTCCAGAAGCACATACTGAGCCTCCAGTCTTCTACAGTTGCCTTGAGTGAGAGTCTTATTTCCTGTAGACAAAGGACTGAAATTGTGGAAGATCAGACACAAGCTCTTTTCATGCGAGTGGCTGACCATCAATGAAAAGTGCTTTCTCAGTCTCGCCAGGGCATTGGTTGGAAAAGAATGGGACCCTGCAACTTGAAATGGGGGTGTGTGGGAAGACCCTAATGAAGTTGAAGACACTGAGCTTGTAAATTCTAATGAGGCCTTTTTGCCAGAGGAAACAGGAGCTTTTTTGCCCCCACCCCCAGTGGTGGAAACATACCCTCCCCACCCATGCTGCCATCAGCCTTTTCACCTTAGTCTGATAAGATAAACCATGCACTGCTTGAGGCAACAGTGATGGCCTCCTCTGAGGCAGTTGCCAGGTGATTCTCCTCAGGACTCACCCTCAACACACCTATTTGCTTATAGACTAGACTCAAGTCCTGGCAGGTTCCTAGAGGTGAGGTTCAGAGTGTGACTCATGAGGAGGTGTGCTACACTTCAAAAGAACTTCTTGAGTTTTCTAATGTATATAAGCATAAATCTGGAGAACAGGCATAGGAATGGATATTAAGGGTGTGGGATAATGATGGAAGGAACATAAAGTTGGATCAGGCTGAATTTATTGATATGGGCCCACTTAGCATGGACTCTGAATTTAATGTTGCAGGTTGGGGAGTTAAAAAAAAGTTATCATAGTTTATTAGCTTGGTTAGCTGAAATGTGAATAAATAAATGGCCCACTGTGAGTGAGCTAGGAATGTCTAATCTCCCTTGGTTTAATGTAGAGGAAGAGATCCAAAGCTTAGGGAGACTGGGATGGTGATGTGGATTAGTCACTTTAGACCTACTCATCCCAGCTGGGAGGTTCCAGAAGACATATCCATGATCATAACCTTGTGAAATTGATTTTTGATAGGAGCACCTGAGTTTTTGAAGAGCTCTGTGATTGCTCTTCTGTGTATGGCAGATCTTATAGTGGAAACAACAGTTACTCAATTCGAAAATTTAAAAGCAATGGGAATAATTGGATCCCAAGCTGGCAGGGGCCAAGTGGTGGCACTCAATCATCAAGGGCAATGTGGGTGTAGTTACTGTAATGAACAGCATAGATAAAGCAGCAATCAGAATAGTCTGACTCATGCAGAGCTTTAGCATTGGCTAATTAATCATGGTGTTCCTAGAAGTGAAATTGATAGGAAGCCTACTGCATTCTTACTTAATTCGTATAAGCAGAAAACTTCCAGGTCGAGTGGACAAAACACTAATTTAAATTATAAAAATAGAGAATCACGACCCCTCAATCAATTTCCAGACTTGAACCAGTTTACAGACCCAGAAACACTTGAATGAAGTGGAAGTTGGGTCCCCTTGAGGAAGGACTCCACTACACATACCGACAATTTATATTGTTCATCTTTCTCCTATCCTTCCCCAAGGAGACCTCTGGCCTTTTACCAGGGTAACTGTGCGTTGGGGAAAGGGGTATGATAAAAGCTTTCAGGGACTGCTGGACACTGGCTCTGAGCTGACGTTGTTTCCAGGGGAACCAAAACATCATTGTGGTTCTCCAGTTCAGTTAGAGTACGGGCTTATTGAGTAAGGTAATTAATGGAGTTTTAGGACAAGTTCAACATTCACTGGGTCCAGTAGGTCCCCAGTTTCATCCTGTGGTCATTTCCCCAGGGCCAGAATGCATAACTGGCATAGACATACTTAGCAGCTGGCAGAATCGCCACGTTGACTCCCTGACTGGTAGGGCGAGGGCTATTATGGTGGGAAAGGCAAAATAGAAGCCATTAGAGTGACTCTACCTAGAAAAATAGTAAATCAAATAAAATCACATCTCTGAAGGGATTGCAAGGATTAGTACCACCACCAAGGACTTGACAGACGCAGGAGTGGTGATTCCCACCATGTCCCCATTCAATTCTCCTATTTTGCCCGTGAAGAAGACAGTTGGATCTTGGGAAATGACAGTGGATTATCACAAGCTTAACTAAATGGTGACTCCAGTTGCAGCTACTGTATTGGATGTAGTTTTATTGCTTGAACAAATTTACATATCTCCTGGTACCTTGTATGCAGCCATTGATTTGGCAAATGCCTTTTTCTCCATTCCTGTCTATAATGCCTGCCAGAAGCAAGGCCACAATATACCTCTACTGTCCTACCTCAGGGGTATATCAACTCTCTGGCTCTGTGTCATAATCTTGTTTGCAAGGATCTTCATGGCTTTTCACTTTCAAAACACATCACATTGGTCCGTTACAATGATGATATTATGCCAATTTGACCCATTGAGCTAGATGTAGCAAATGCACTGCACTGGACTGAGAAATTTGCATGCCAAGGAATGGGAAATAAATCCAACTAAACTTCAGAGACATTCTACCTCAGTGAAATTTCTAAGGGTCCAGTGGTGTGGGGCCTGTTGAGATATTCCTTCTAAGGTGAAGGATAAGTTGTTGCATTTGGCAACTCCTACAACTAAGAAAGTTGCACAACATCTAGTGGGCCTATTTGGATTTTGAAGGCAACACATTCCTCATTTGGGTGTGTTACTCTGGACTATTTGTTGAATGACCTGAAAGGCTGTCAGTTTTGTGTGGGTCCAGAACAGGAGAAGTCTCTGCAACAGGTCCAGGCTGCTGTGCAAGCTGCTCTGTCACTTGGGCCATATGACCCAGCAAATCTGATGGTGCATCCCTCAGGCAGACAGGGATGCTGTTTGGAGTCTTTGGCAGGCACTTATAGGTGACTCACAGTTGAGACCTCTAGGATTTTGGAGCAAGGCCCTGCCATCTTCTGTATATAACCACTGTCCTTTAGAGAGACCACTCTTGGCCTGTTACTGGGCTTTGGTAGAAACTGAACGCTTGACTATGGGTCATCAAGTCATCATGCGACCTGAACTGACTATCATAAACTGGGTGCTTCCTGACCCATCTAGCCACAAAATTGGGCATGCATAGCAGCATTCCATCATCAAATGGAAGTGGTACATACGTGATCTGGGCTCAAGCAGGTCCTGAAGGCACAAGTAAATTACATGAGGAAGTGGCTCAAATGCCCATGGTTGCCACTCATTCCACCCTGCCTTCTCTCCCCAGCCTGCATTGATGGCCTCATGGGAAGTTCCCTATGATCAGTTGACAGAGGAATAGAAGGGCCTGGTTTACAGATGGTTCTGCGTAATATGCAGGCACCATCCAAAAGTGGAGAGCTGCGGCACTACAGCCCCTCTCTAGGGCATCTCTGAAGGACAGTGGTGAAGGGAAATCTCAGTGGGCACAACTTCTGGCAATACACCTGGTTGTGCACTTTGCTTGAAAAGAGAAATGGCCAGATGTGTGATTATATACTAATCCATGAGCTGTACCCAACGGTTTGGCTGGATCGTCAGGGACTTGGAAGAAGTATAATTGGAAAATTGGTGACATGGAAATTTGGGGAACAGGTAGGTGGATGGACCTCTCTGAGTGGTCAAAAACTGTGAAGATATTTGTATCTCATGTGAATACTTATCAGTGGGTGACCTCAGCAGAGGAGGATTTTAATAATCAAATGGTGACTCACTCTGTGGACACCACTCAGCTTCTTTCCCCAGCCACCCCTGTCATTGCCCAATGGGCCCATGAAAAACATGGTCATGGTGGCAGGAATAGAGGCTATGTATGGGATCAGGAACATGGAGTTTCGCTTACCAAGGCAGACCTGGCTACGGCCACTGCTGAGTGCTTCATTTGCCAGCAGCAGAGACCAAGAGTGAGCCCTTGATATGGTACCATTTCTTGGGGTGATCACTCAGCTACTTGGTGGCAGGTTGATTATTTGACCTCCTCCACCATGGAAAGGGCAGCAGTTGGTCTTCACTGAAATAGACATTTACTCTGGATATGGGTTTCCCTATCCTGCATGCAATGCTTCCGTCAAGACTACTGTTCATGGACTCACAGAATGCCTTATCTATGATCATGGTATTCCACATAACATTGCCTCTTCACGGCTAAAGAAGTGCAGCAGTGGGCTCACGCTCATGGAATTCAATGGTCTTATCATGTTCCCCATTATCCAGAAGCAGCTAGATTGATAGATTGGTGAAATGGTCTTTTAAAGTCACAATTGCAATGCCAACTAGGTAACAATACTTTGCAGGGCTGGGGCAAAGGTCTCCAGGAGGTTGTGTATGCTCTGAATCAGCATGCAATATATGGTGCTTTTTCTCCCATAGTCAGGATTCATGGGTCCAGGAATCAAGGAGTGGAAGTGGAAGTGCCGCCACTCACCATCACCCCTAGTGACCCACTAGCAAAATTTTTGCTTCCTGTTTCCTTGACTTTATGTTCTGTTGGCCTAAAAGTCTTAGTTTCAGAGAGAGGAATGCTGCCACCAGGAGATACAACAATGATTCCATTAAACCAAAAGTTACAATTGCCACCTGGGCACTTTGGGCTCCTCCTACCCCTAAGGGTAGGAGGAATAACTAATAACTGACCACGTGACCAGTTGCAGAAATTAAGACTGTAATTGTCATGAATATAATTTTTCTTTTGTTAAGGATAGGTTTGTGCATGTATACACTTGTACTAGGAAAATATCTTACAGTGTTGGTTAGGGAGATTGACCCAGACTATCAAGATGAAATCAATCTACTATTCCACAATGGAGTAAGGAAGAGTATGTATAAAATACAGGAGATTCCATAGGGCATCTCTTAGTATTACCAGGCCCTGTGATTAAGGTCCATGGGAAACTACAATGGCCCAACCCAGGCAGGACTACAAATGGCCCAGACTCTTCAGGCATGAAGGTTTGGGTCACTCCACCAGAAGTAAAAAAGCATGACCCCCTGAGGTGCTTGCAGAAGGCAAAGGGAATACAGAATGGGTAGCAGAAGAAAGTAGTCATTAAAACCAGCCATGACAATGTGACCAGTTGCAGAAACAAGGACTGTAATTGTCATGAATATATTTTTTATTTTGTTAAGAATAGGTTTGTGCATGTATACACTTCTACTAAAAAAAATCTTAATTTTATCTCATTTCTTTTTCCTTTTCATGTGACATAAGATTTGTTGACTTCATATTAGCATTTAAGTGTTGTTAACTTTATGTGATAGCATTTAGGTTAAGGATTAATGTGCTTCTGGTTGTACAAGGGATAGCTGTATTTTATTAGCCAAATTATCACCTCATTATTGTCTTTATTTGGAGATTATGTATAATTTCAGGAGATGTGTATGAGTTCAAGTTGACAAGGGGTGGACCTTTGATGGTTAATATTGTCAGTTTGATTGAAGGATGCAAAGTAGTGTTCCTGTGTGTGTCTGTGAGGGTGTTGCCAAAGAAGATTAACATTTGAGTCAGTGGACTGGTAGAGGCAGAGTCATCCTCAATGTGGGTGGGCATCATCTAATCAACTGCCAGTGCAGCTAGAATAAAGCAGGCAGAGTAAGATGGGAGAAGTAAACTTGCTAAGTATTCCAGCTTTCATCTTTCTCCCATGCTGGATGGTTCCTGCCCTTGGACATCAGACTCCAAGTTCTTCAGCTTTTGGACTCTTGCACTTACACCAGTGGTTTGCTAGGGGCTCTCAGGCCTTTGGCCACAGACTGAAGGCTGCACTGTTGGCTTCCTTACTTTTGAGGTTTTGGGACTCAGACTGGCTTCATTGCTCTTCAGCTTGCAGAGGCCTATTTTGGGCCTTCACCTTGTAATCATGTGAGTCAATATTCCTTAATAAATTCCCCTTCACATATACATCTATCCTATTAGTTCTGTCCCTCTAGAGAACTCTAATTAAGGGACCAAGGTACAGCTCAAGCCATGGCTTCAGAGGCTGCAAGCCCCAAGTTTTGGTGGCTTCCAGGCATTGTTAGAGTTGTGGGCATACAGAAGAAAACAGTTGAAGTTTGGGAGCCTCCACCTAGATTTCAGAGGATGTATAGAAATGTCTGGATGTCCAGGCAGAAGTTTGCTGCAGGAGTGGAGCCCTCATGGAGAACCCCTGCAAGCGTATTGCAGAAGATAAATATGGGGTTGGAAATGCCATACAGATTTCTCACTGGGGCACTGCCTCGTGGAGCTGTGAGAAGAGGGCCACTAGACAGTGGCCATACCCCAGAAATGTAGATACATTGACAGCTTGCCTCTGGAAATGCTGCAGGCACTAAACATCAGCCCACAAATGTAGCTGCATGGGCTGTATGCTGCAGAGCCACAGGGGCAGGGCTGCTGAAGGCTCTGGGAGCCCACCCTTTGCATCAGCATGCCCTGGATGTGAAACACGGAGTCAAAGGAGATTTAGGAGCTTTAAGATTTAACAACTTCCCATCTGGGTTTAGGACTTGTGTAGGGCCTTTAGCCACTTTGTTTTGGCCAATTTTTCTCAATTGAAATGGAAATATTTACCCAGTGCCTGTACCTTCATTGTTTTTTTAAAGTAACTAACTTGCTTTTGATTTTATAGGCTCATAGGCAGAAGGGACTTGCCTTGTCTCCACTGAGACTTTGGACTTGGAATTTTGGCTTAATGCTGGAATAAGTTAAGACTTTGGGAAGTCATAATTGATTTTGCAATTTGAGAAGGACATGAGATTTTGGAGGGGCCAGTGGCAGAATAATATGGTTTGGCTTTATGTCCTCACCCAAATTTTATCTCCAATTGTAATTTTCATGGATTGAGGGAGGGAGCTGGTGGGACATGAATGGATCATGGGGGCAGTTTCCCCCATGCTGTTCTTATGACAGGAAGTTCTCACAAGATCTGATGGTTTTAAAAGTGTTTGGCACTTCACCCCTCCCCCACTCTGTTTCCTGCTGCCATGTAAGATGTGCCTTGCTTCCCCTTCACCTTCCACCATGATTGTAAGTTTCCTAAGGCCTCTCCAGCCATGTGAAACTGTGAGTCAATTAAACCTCTTTTGTTTATAAATTGTCCAGTCTAAGGTAGTATCTTTATAGCAGTGTAAGAACAGACTAATACAGTTGCTTTATCATATATGTCTGATAAATATCATATCAAAAGAGTTTTACATCTGTTTTTTAAACTGTTTTCCTCTTATTACTATCAGTCATTGTGTCTTGATTCCTTGACGTCTAATTACTTAGCTGCTAATTTTATTTGTGGGGATTGTTTAAGGCACAGGACAAGGTGTCATCAGTTGGGAAACATTTGAATTTGTCTCTGCCTGGTGCCTATTGACATCTTAAATTGGAACCACTTTAAATTCAACGTATGGCCACAGATGTTTTGGACCACTTATATTAAATAAGTAAGTGTTCACAATGCACAAACACAGTCTTGTGGTTGTAAATCTATCCATATTTACATATATATATATACACACACACACAAATATATTTGTATTTGTATGTATGTAGAACAAACATACATACATGTATTTGTTCTCCCCTGGTTTGCCCTGAATAAGGCAACTTCCTTTGTAGTCACCTGGGAAAAGGACTAATGGGAAGAAGTTGTATTAAAATGGGATTATCCATTATCAGGGAACCCAGCTCCATAGGGTCCCACCTTTATTTAGATATCTCCTGTTGGAATTCCCATTCTGATGAGCTTTTTTTTTCTTCTCTCCCCTGTACCTTGCAAGGTCAGTCAAAACTGAAGATCAGCTTTTGATCATGGTAAGTGGAGTGGCTGGGCAAATCATCCCATGGGTAACAATTAGAAATGTGTTGATCTAGAAATGTGTTCTCTCTCTCTCACACATACACAAACACTCTCCCATACACACACACACACACACACACACACACACACGCACACATGCACACACTCCTCACTGAGGGTTAATCACAACAGGAAGGCTTCAATTGACCTGACTCTTTTGTTGAAATAAGTGTTGTCCCTGCACAGCACTGGTGCCTAGTGAAGGCACTAAATGTTCTGATTAATAGTGTGCTTCATCATCATGGGGGCAAGGTGGGGTTGGAGGTAGTTTGTGTAATGGGATCAAGGATTTGCACTGATCCAGGTAAGGTCTCCAGAGGGCTCTGGCAGTGAGGCTGGTTGGATAGCAAGACTATGCCCACATGATGAGCAGGGTGTTCTGGGCTGAACTGTGTTTTCCTCACATTCATTTGTTGAAGTTCTATTTCCTAGTACCTCAGAATGTGACTGTATTTGGATATAGGGCCTTTAAGAGTTAGATAAGTTAAAATGAGGTTAGTAGGATAGTGTCCAACTCAATATGACCTGCATCCTTATACGAATCTCTTCTTATAAGAAGAGGAGATTAGGTCACAGATGTTCAATAAGGAAAGACCATGTGAAGACACAAGAAGATGGTCATCTGCAAGCCAAGAGAAATGTCTCAAAAGGAACTGGCCCTGCTGACATCTTGACCTTGAATTTCCAGCCTCAGGTACTGTGGGAAAATGAATTTCTGTTATTTAAGCCACTCAATCTTTTTTTTTCTTTTTTTTTTTACTGAAGCCTTAAAAACTAATAATATATAGGTTTAAAATGCCCTAGCTGAGACTTGTAGGTATCCAGGTGCATGTCAGTGATTCTGGATTTGAATAAGAGAGTGCATCCATCTATAAGGTCTTTCAGGGGAGGACTCTTAGGGCCCACTCTGAGTGCTGTGGGTCTTGCTTTGTGGGGCAGCCTCTGGCTGCTGTTCATGTCCTTGCTTTAGTGCAGTTGCTATGTTGTATCCTTTTCCTAAAGTAAACTTGTTTCATAGGCACTGTTCTTCGGGGTCCTATAAGTCTGCTTTAGTAATCCAAACCAAACCCTGTCTGACTGAAGCCATTAGTGTCCTATCTATCATCTATCTATCTATGTCATCTATCTATCATCTGTCTATCTATGCCATCTATCTATGTCATCTATTTATCAATCACCTATCATCTCATCTATACATCTCATTTAAAAATATATGATTTTTTTAAAGCATAAAGTGTTTTTGTTTAGTTTAGCTTAGTTCATAATGTCTATGGATATAACATACATGAGAATAAGCACTAAAGATGGGAATGTGAAATAAAAATATATTTCTTTGAAATTTCCTATATTTTACCTGAAGTAATTGAATAATACCTCCAAGATGACTCTAATTTAAAAATTCATATTTTAATTCTTAGAGAAACTACTAAAAATGATTTTTAAAATAGCTAAAAATTCAATACACTAAATAAAATGGAATAATCAAAAAAACTTTTAAAAGAATGACTAAAGGGAAACAAAAAATAAAAAAGAAACAAATGGCAAAATAGCACACCTAAAAACAATCATATCAATAATGATATTATATGCAATAAACTGAATAATCCAATCATATGACAGGAATTATCAGGATAAATTTGGGAAAAGTCAATTGTATTCTGTCCACAAGAGAAGAGTTTACAACACACAAACATAAATGGGTTGAAAATATAATATTAGAAATAATATTTCCTTAAACAATAAACATCAGAAAGGAAGAGAGATTATATTAATAAGATTCAAACTAGATTTCAAGGCAAAGAATGTTACTAGAGAAAAAGAGAGAGAGAGGTCTTATAATGATAAAACTGCCAAAACATAAAGAAGTTATAAATACTGTATTTTGTGTCTAATGAGAGAGCTTTAAAACAGGAAGCCAAAACTGTCAAGATTTAAGGGAGAAACAGACAAATCCACAGCACATTTTGGAGGTATTAATAGACATGGTTGGTGATATTCATGCATGTTTCTTTGTAACTAATTGGACAATTAGAGAAAAAAAATAACTCATTGTAGATCCTAAGGACATTATCAGTCACCTTAACCTAATTGACATTTTTAGAACTGCTCATCCAACAGTTGCAGAATACATCATTTTCAAGTGTCATATTAAACCACATCATATTCTCCAATATTTCCTCTTCTCTGAACTTCACAAATCCTTGTCTCTTTAGCTTTGTATTTTTGTTTCTTCATTTGGCTAGAGCTTTCTCTCAAACAGTGTTCTATGAGGAATGTCTTCATTGAATTTTTACATACTCTAAGGTTAGATTTTTTTCTTTTTCATGATGATAGTTGTATATGCGATCCTTCACTCTGAAGCTCCTATTATAAACATTTTGTTTTCCTGGTACTACCCTACACTATCTTCCAAGTTTCCTTTATGTCCTTCAGAAGTCCCTTTTTTATGCTGTATGCCTCAAAATAGTTTCTTAACTTGATTTTGCAGACCTTGGTTTCAACGGTGACCAAGCTGTTCTCCAGTGCATTTACTGAATTATATAGTAAGAAAATCTTATTTTTTTTGTTTTTTAAATCCCTAGAAAGATATGTTTGTGTGTGTGTGTGTGTGTGTGTGTGTTACACTCAAACTCCTTCAATTTGTGAATGGTCTCTTTCTCTCCTCTCTCTCCCTCTGTCTCTTAGATTTGTGGCCCTTACCTGTGTCTTCTTTGGGGTCAGTGTCCCATTTTTTCTCCCTGGCCTCCCTCTCTCTAGCTGTTTGGATACCCAACCCAACCTAGAGGGTAGGCTGGTTGTGTTGTATACTTGTTTTGTGACTCCGTTCCCTGCCCCTTCCCCCATCACAATTGCACAGAAGCTGAAGAAATGCCCTCTGTTTCCTGCTGAGCGTTGGGAGAAGCTTTTAGCTCTCTGGCTAAAATTTCTGGCACATAGAAGAAGACCCAGCTCCTCCCATCAGCTGATGAGGGTCTTGGCTTTTAATAGAATAGAATAGAATATTAAATTTCTATTCTAATTTAATAGAATAGTTTCATAGCAACTGCACTAAAACAATAGAGCTGATAGAGTCTGTCATGCTCACATCATAGAGGAAGTGACTTTAAGGCCACATCTTTAGGTTCCTTTCGAGTCCTTTCTCTGGATATGATATTGTTTTCCAGTGTTTCTCTAGGAGGATGAATGACCGTAACACGTATCTCGTACTCTCTGCTAGGACCTCCAGGGACCCCAGACATCATGGTCCTAGCGGAGCTTTTTTTCTACCCGACATGCTCCAGTGTCGCATGACTCTTTTACATGCCCAGCCCCTTTGGACACAATGCCATCTTGAAACTGAAGTTAAAATAGATTTGTGAAAAATTTGACACAATGAGGGGCAACCCTCAGCACATATGTTACACAAAATTCTTTAGAATCGTGTAACGCTTCAAAATCTAAAAGTAAAAGGTAAACTTTTATATTATCTTGACCAGAAGTGGGAAGATAAGAATGAAAGAACAGTGAAACTGTTTTAGAAGTTAGCAAAGTCTCATTTCAAATGATGGTGGAGCTGTGAGATGTGGGGAATTGCAGGAGTGACCACGAGATGAGGCAGGGCATTGCATTCTGAAATATAGTGGCAGTTTGCTCAAGAAAAAATTCCAGCACAAATTTGATAAGGTGTCAGGAACAGAACCAGGACCATTAAATCCTGAGCTTAATAAGAGTCATAAGTAACAAAGATATTGAAAGAAAATCAAATATATATTTTTGGTTTAGGATTGAAGAAATAGATTTAAATACTACATAAAAATAATCTAGCATTTAGTATAAATAACTCTAAATGATTGGCAGTTAATCATACTATTCACATAAAATAGAAATAAATATGTACATATATTTCATGTAAGGTGTTGAAATGATCTGAGACAATTTACCTCTCTTAATAAATATTCCAATTAAACTTCTCATCTCAAATATAATAAAAAGTAATGTATTAACAAGAAATTACTTTCTCTTTTATTCAAATTTTAGTTTGTAGCACTGGCTGTTAAAACCTTCTATAGAAAGGTTCTTCTGTAGAAACCTTCTACAGAAATAGCATGCATATAGACTCAGGACAGAAGGAATAAAAGGATACAATATTGCTTTTCTTGTAAGAAAAATTTCTAGGGAAATGCCAAGTTGACATCAATGTAGAAAGAATATAGCAGGTGTAATGCATGTCCATTTAAATACAAGGTATTGATCTCTACTTATCGTCAACTGAAAAGCCCAAGGATTGTTGACATTCTCTCTATTGGCTTTTATTTTCAAAATCTGTTCTAGAAAATAGCAATTTTTCATGACAACCTATTCTATTCATCATGACTAGAAAGGATCAGGCATTTGTCAATACGTATTCTGAGCAGTGTTCTCTTTGTGCAAGGGGCATATTGTGGATGAAAATCAGTCTGCAAAATCAGCTACTTAATACACTAAGTACAATACCACATTTATACCACTTTTATTGAAATCACAAAATGCAAGAAGAAATTTGGCTATTCGCTGTATGCATGTTTAGCCATTTCCTTCATTACATTGTATGCTGGGTTGTACTTTGGGAAGCATGAAATGTAAATGACAATAAAATGCATGCACATAAATTCAGACAACCTTACTTTAATTATAGAAATTTGCTGAATTTTCTCTCGATACAAGTTGTATGAGTCAAAATAGTCTACATTATTCTGTAATAATAAACACTCTCAGTGAAGTAGCCTCAGAAATAGTGTGGTCTCACACAAAGATAGTCCATTTTGTACCTTGTGAATCCTCGGGACAGCTGTCTCACATTCACAAGATGTGTTAGCAGGATATTCTAGGCTGCTTCCGTTGAGTGTTACTGATAGGCACCTCCACATCAGTAAGTGCTTCCATGGTCACTGAATCTTGGGAAGAGTCAGCTGAAGAGGTGAGCACCGGCTCATAGGTGCTTCCACCTGGGAATGGCTATGTCACTTCTTGCTTAAGAAATAGAATCTCAGCTGCCAGGACAAGTCACATGCACTTACCTTCAAGGAGATGAAGGAGTACAAGAATCCCATATGCCCCAGTATAGAGGAGAGCTGGATATTGATGAGCAGTAGTTATCTGCTTTCTTTTATGCTCTTCTGAATTTTTCTGTCTCTCAAGGTCACCAATAACCATGCCCTATCACCTTCAAAACTATAACAAAATAATAGTTAACTTTTTCTCAGGTTTTCCTAAGAGTATAACATTGTGCTAAAAATTTTTGTTATATTATTTTACTTAGTCATTAAGGAAATGTATGAGGCCCATGTATCATCGTCTCCATTATGCAGATGATAACCCTTTCATATCATTTAGTGTGCATGCAATTAGGCTTCAAGTCCACCTTTTTCTGATTTCCAGGCTTAATGTCCATGCCATGTCTCCAATTGTAATTCGCTTCCATTTTCCAATTCTTAGCTGCCTGAGCTATTATAGTTTAAAGGCTAGCATAATAAAGTGCTTAGGAAATGATATTTGAAAGTGAAGAATGGGAAAGAAAGGATTCGAAGCTGACCTATAACCTATTTTTTTCTATCATATGAACACCAAGAGTGAGAATACAAAGAAAAAAATTACTAATAGGTCTTTTTAAAAACATGCTAACATAAATTGTTGATAGCATTTACTAGTATAAGGAAGAGGCATTATTGAAAGAATGCTTTTAGCAGGTTATATCTGGTCAACTTAGATTTTTTATAGTGAACCAAACTGAAATTCATGAATTTCTGGAGCATGACCCACTAAAAATATCAATGACAGTTATATATCTTCGAAGGTAAAACATGGAGATATTTTATGATCAAAATAGTTCCCTTTGTAACATAATATCTTATGTAACAGCATCTAGAGATCTCATGTATCATAATATCTTATGTAACATCATCTAGAGATCTCATGTATTTAATTTGGGCTAGGGAACATTCTGGCGCAGTGAGGTATGAGTGCCAGGTGGTCTCAGACTTCACGCTTCATTGTGTCTCAAAGTTAGTTATGTCTATCCCTTGGTGTACAGGAAGATCTGATACAGGTTAAAATCTCCAATTCTTGTGTGTCTGATTTAACCATCTCATACTTTGTGTATTTTAACATCTAATCAATTTTATTACCTCTCATATTACTAACACTTAAGAAATAGGGTTATTTTCCTGTTTTGGAACTATCTAAAGGTAAAAAGCCAGACTTTTTGGATTTCTAAACAGGGCAAACCAGAAATCTCTGGGCTGCATCCTGGGCAGACCTGGATGCCTGTTGAAGGATCTGGGGAGTTACGAAAACTGAACAATTGAAGTAGTGGAGCGTAGAATATTTTGAGTCAGGGAACTTGCTTATGTTCTGCGTCAAGGCAAAACATCTTTTAAAACATTACTTTTATTTACAATGAGTAGATACGTAAAACTTACCTCACAGAGTTCAGCTCCTTGAAACCTGAACAATTCCCTGTGTTTGCTGTCTGTCCTTTGTTTTGCTATCTGTCTGTCCTGTGTTTTGCTGTCTGTCCTGTGTTTTGCTGTCTGTCTGTCCTGTGTTTTGTTGGCAATGTCTTAACATATGTGCATGATATTGATTCCATTCATGTGATGATCAAAACTGAACAAACAAGTTCCAAAGAACAGGCAGAGCACTATTTATTCCCACAGCCAGGGCAAGGCAAACCTCCCTGGTGACATTTCCTGGGCCACAATGTTGGTGCAGGGCTTTATTTTTTATTTTTTTATTTTTTATTTTTTAATTAATTAATTTTTTTTATTATTATACTTTAAGTTTTAGGGTACATGTGCACATTGTGCAGGTTAGTTACATACGTATACATGTGCCATGCTGGTGTGCTGCACCCACTAACTCGTCATCTAGCATTAGGTATATCTCCCAATGCTATCCCTCCCCCCTCCCCCCACCCCACCACAGTCCCCAGAGTGTGATGTTCCCCTTCCTGTGTCCATGTGATCTCATTGTTCAAGTCCCACCTATGAGTGAGAATATGTGGTGTTTGGTTTTTTGTTCTTGCGATAGTTTACTGAGAATGATGATTTCCAATTTCATCCATGTCCCTACAAAGGACATGAACTCATCCTTTTTTATGGCTGCATAGTATTCCATGGTGTATATGTGCCACATTTTCTTAATCCAGTCTATCATTGTTGGACATTTGGGTTGGTTCCAAGTCTTTGCTATTGTGAATAATGCCGCAATAAACATACGTGTGCATGTGTCTTTATAGCAGCATGATTTATAGTCCTTTGGGTATATAACCAGTAATGGGATGGCTGGGTCAAATGGTATTTCTAGTTCTAGATCCCTGAGGAATCACCACACTGACTTCCACAATGGTTGAACTAGTTTACAGTCCCACCAACAGTGTAAAAGTGTTCCTATTTCTCCACATCCTCTCCAGCACCTGTTGTTTCCTGACTTTTTAATGATTGCCATTCTAACTGGTGTGAGATGGTATCTCATTGTGGTTTTGATTTGCATTTCTCTGATGGCCAGTGATGGTGAGCATTTTTTCATGTGTTTTTTGGCTGCATAAATGTCTTCTTTTGAGAAGTGTCTGTTCATGTCCTTCGCCCACTTTTTGATGGGGTTGTTTGTTTTTTTCTTGTAAATTTGTTGGAGTTCATTGTAGATTCCGGATATTAGCCCTTTGTCAGATGAGTAGGTTGCAAAAATTTTCTCCCATTTTGTAGGTTGCCTGTTCACTCTGATGGTAGTTTCTTTTGCTGTGCAGAAGCTCTTTAGTTTAATTAGATCCCATTTGTCAATTTTGTCTTTTGTTGCCATTGCTTTTGGTGTTTTAGACATGAAGTCCTTGCCCATGCCTGTGTCCTGAATGGTAATGCCTAGGTTTTCTTCTAGGGTTTTTATGGTTTTAGGTCTAACGTTTAAGTCTTTATTCCATCTTGAATTGATTTTTGTATAAGGTGTAAGGAAGGGATCCAGTTTCAGCTTTCTACACATGGCTAGCCAGTTTTCCCAGCACCATTTATTAAATAGGGAATCCTTTCCCCACTGCTTGTGTGCAGGGCTTTATCTGGCAGCTCTGGAACTCGCAGGTGCCTCTTTGCACTGTGCGCTGGCCCTGCACACTTGGCTATTTACTGTCCCTGGAACACTCTGCAGACCATGCTCTGGGCTTCAAGATCACATCCCCCACCCTCTCCTGATCTCTTACACATGTTCTTTTCAGCTCTTCTTCATTCCTCGTTCTCTCTGAAGCCTGATAGACAAAAGATACAAGAGTTTTATGGTTCTTAGCAACACTTTGAAAAGTCTGTTTACCAATCCCTGCGGATAAAGAGACGCAATTCTTAAAACTGAGATGCCTGATTTCCTGTCTTTGTAAGGAAGGGCACTTCTTTCTCTACCCCATCCCAAAGGCTGTGTGCTAGAAAAAAGAGAATAAATCCAAATTTAATTACTGGCTTTTATTTCTATTACTGATGTCTTTGAGACATACCATTTCTACACTTAAAAAAAACAGTCTTTTATTTCTTGAAATGATTGTGAACTCTGAGCAGACAGAGGCACTGTTTTACATGATGTCATTTTCCATAAAGAGCTGCATCTGGGACCTGAATGTAGTAACTTGTCTTTATGAATTCCTATAAAGGTACAGAGCAAACTTCCTTTAGTTGAATAACAATGCACCACACTTCATAATAACCTTGAATATATCATAAAGCCTGCCTAGAAGGAAACTCTAAATGGTCAAATAGTTTGGGGAGGATGCATAGTTATAGTTATAATTTAGTTATAGTTATAATACCTAATAGCACATTAAAGCCTTGAGAGGGATTGAGTGAAAAAACGTTTTCCTGTTTTTACTTACTGTATCCTACAATTCTTTCAATATGGACCACTTTTTGTTACATCGGTGACTGGTGAGTTCTTTCTTAAAGGGCCAGAAAATAAATGTTTTAGGTTTTGCTGTCAAACAAAAATACCAAAAGCAGAAGGGATTGTGTAGGTACTAAAATAACCATTTAAAATAAACCCTTTGAAAAGATGAAAACTATTATTATGTGCTTGTGGGCCATAGGAAAAGAAGGAACCAGTCAAGTTGGGCTCACAGGACATAGTTCACTATTCTTTGGAGTAGAAAACACTCACTGGCATATTGGAGTAGAGTTTTTGGAGTGTGCACCATGGGATAGTTGCTAAGTACACCTTCAGTCATGAAACCTTGGATTTAAGTCAAAAATTGCTCAAGTGTTTGGAAAATTCTTGCACAAAAAGTTGATTTTAATTTTAAGATTGTTCATTCTCCTGATACTTGAGGAAAGAAATTCTCTACTTTCTTAAAATTACATATTGTTCATCCAATTATAAAAGGATTACATGCAAAAGAATACAAAAAGAAAACAGTCCCACATCTCAGAGATAAACATCCTTAATGCGGTATATATTTTTAAGCTTTTAAATTCGTATTTTAAATGCCAATGCAGAATCTTTTGGCAGTACATGATCCATGTACTTGCAGGTTTTGATGATTGGAATAAACTCTGAAGAACGATTTATGTATAGGTTAGAGAGGGGCTGTAAGTTGTTAGCTCAAGTATAGTGGGGCTGCTGTAGGGGATGCCAGTGACTGATTTTCCATTTTGATGAATTTTTTTCACCAGTTTTAATTTTTTTTCTCTAAATTTCTGTTAATCAAATGAGATGTGAACTGGAACAACCATTAAGCAGACAGCAGTGATCAAGGTGAAATCTCTTTTTATATAGAACTGATGAAATTCACTCCTTGCACTACATCCTCTGAACTGACATGTGCTATCAGCTCAAGGTTGCCTCCGGTCAAGAAATTGACTACCTGTTTAGGACACATGCTTTAATTATTAGGGAGCAGCTTCTTCTACCTGATTTGCAACACATTTTCTTTATAATGAGCTAAAACCAAATGCAACAAATACTAGAGTTCACTGTCATAGCTGCATGTTGCCAAACTCTTCTGCATTTCAAGGCGTTTTGCGTTTTGTCAAATGCGTTCTGCCTCCTCATGGCCTCTCAGCTGCTAGTTCACTGTGAGATTCTGCACTTTGCCACAAGTGTCTTCTGAAGGTTTTTACTGAGACATTATGCAAGTTGCAAATATATGTTGTGTTTTTAAGATTCAAAACTTATGTGCATGTCAGTAATTATTAATGATTATTGTAATGATTAATTACAATGAGGACTGCTTCTTGGCCGTTTGATGGAACAGGGTCGACTGGTGAGTTTTACATCCATGGGTCTAAAAATGGACTGTTGGAAAGCTCTCTAAATAAATTTCCCTGCATGTTCAAAAACGAGGGAATAGTGCCAGGGAAAGAGAGACCAAATCCTGCCAACAAGCTAAAACAGACAAGGCTGCCAACAATATATTAAGCACAAATAACAAAGAAATATGGTGTGGATGGCTCTGTCCTGCCAGCTTTATGCGGTCCCCAAATTTTTTTCAAATACTAATGTTGGCAGAGGGGGAAAAACACATAGAGCATATTGAAAAGACCTGATTCTCCAGGCCACGTTTCAGGAAAGCAAAGTGAAGGTTAAGCATCTGTCACGGAAAATAGTTCAGAAAACGAATGCCAGTTAAAAGAAAGGGATGATAGAAAGAAAAAAGAATAGTCAGGGAAATACTGAGGCAGCAAGCAGGGGACCCTTCATTACTCACTGCTTGTTACCACATTTCCTAGCACGGACAGTTTACATTCAGCTTCTCCGTTGAGAGGGTGGGGTATATGGAAGCTTTAGTTTTTGAACTTGAAGAAACAGGATGCTGGCTACGTCCAAGGGAAAATGCCTCCGAGTGATGCCTGTGATTGGCTGGTGACAGGCTCTGTGAGGGGCTCCATTACCAGGCCACTCAGACATTGCTCGAGTGCTTGCTGATAGGTAGATCTTGACCAAGCCACATTTTCCAGGCTCTTTAGTTCATTTTCAGCCTTCCTGTGGAGTTCACATTGAAGGATAATGACACGGCATTTCTGTCACAAAAAGTGACTGAGCAGCTGGGAGAAAAAAAAAGAGTCTTATTTACTTTTTAAAAGAAGATGGGCTGATGACTTAAGATTGTAGCCATTTGTAATTTCTCCATGTGTCCTTTGAATAGTGACAATGGCATGGAAACATTAACTTCCATTTAGATGGCCAGTAATGGGCCACCAGGTTGGGATCATCTTGCGGGGACCAGATGCACACCATGCGTGTCGTATGGTGAGATTCTTAGGACTTAGGTCCTGGTTTCTGTGTCTAGACTCAACATAGCTAGTAATTTGATGACCGGATGAATATTGGCAGGGAAGACTTACCACTGCACAGGGAAAAATCTAAATTGTTAGCTTAGGTAGAAGATGGTTAAAACTTTCTGTATCATCCATTATTTACCTGTGTAATTCGTAACTAATTTTTAAGTTGTTTTTCTTTCAATGTCCCTGAACTAATGTTTGATGTGTTTTTCTGTTGTTGTTCTTATGTCAAGGTTCTTGGATGCTTGATGGAATTAAGGATTTGAGAACATGAGAACAAACAGGAATATGCAGGAAATCTTGAGGACACAGGAGATGAAGTCAACCTGTGGCCAAGGGAGAGGGAGGGACATGAGAAGCTTTGTGAAAGATGTCAGCGCAAACCTCAGGCAAGTGCCACCCAACCTAGAGCTGTGGATTGAAGTTTGGCGTTGGGGTGTCAGCCTGTGATTTCCTGATCTCCAACTCCACTCCTCTTAAGTCACCCAGCCTAAGGCACTGAACCTCATCATCAGAACCTCAGAGTCCAACATCTTGACCATAGCCTTGCAACCCCACTGTTAGGTGAGTTTCAAGTTCTCACTCCCCATAAACTTCTTCAGACCACTGCTCCCTCGAATGACTTTGTTTCCTCCCAGGTCATCAGTTTCCTTAGTCAATTTCCAAGTCCTATCAGTTGTAGACACTACGATTGGTCATCCCATCTGAGTGACTATTTCACTTAAACTTGCCTTTCCTCCTCTGTTTGCAATAACTCTCATACATAGCTCTAGCTTAACATCCACGTTGCCTTCTCTATTCTTACCTCCAGGACAGCAGAACACTAAACATTAAGTTCTTCAATGCTAAAAAACATCCTGTAATCACGAAAATCAGCCCAGTACAAATTCATGCTCACTACACGTGGTTCTCAGCTGCTGTGGGGCCTCTCTCTTCCCTTCAGTATCCACAGACTTGCAACGTTCTTCTCAGCCTTCCTTCGCACCACTAAATTATCTCATTAAGTCAGGACCATCTGGTGGGAACTCCTTTAACTTCCCAGGGCCCAGGAAAAATAAACCATATTTACCCATGCCTCCCTCTTTCTCCATGTGCCTTTTCAAGAAGAGAGGCTCTTCTCCCAGTGTCTCTCTCCCTGATTCCATATCACCCTCTCTTCTTTGGGATACTTCTCCAAAGAGTGTGGTCTTTCAGGTATCCTTACTGTCTTATGACTGAGTCATTCCACTTGGCTTATGAACCTCTTTGTTGCTTATTCCAGGCACTCTGAGTCTCCCCTGCATTCAGTCTCCCTTCAGCATACAACACTGTTCATGATGCTTTTTGTAAAGCCCTCTGCTTCCCCATCCTCCTTAGATCTTCTGCTACTACTCTGGCCAGTTTTTTCTCTGTCTGCTGCTTCTCCTTCCCTTGACCTATTACTTCCTTCCTCCTCCTGAAGAAATCTGATCTGCAGCTCCTCTTCTGTTTTCATCAGTGTGCTCACTCTTGATGCTGCTGCTCCTGCAGCTACTGCCAAGTCTCACTTGATAGACAGTACCCACTCCATATGGGGCAAGAATAAAAATCACCAAAAATAGACAGTTATAAACAAATGTCCCTGCCCATAAGATTTATGTAATCGTACTTTATCCATGTGTTATATTGCTAAGGACATGGTGACTGTGACAGATGTAACATAATAGATGCAATTGACATATACAGTATTTCTTATAGCTAAACTACAGCTAAGTTATTATATTTGAAAAATAATATATGAGACACATCAATAATTGGTTTCATTGTTAAAAATATACACACAAAGCATCTTAAAATAATGTAACTATAACAACCTGATAACTATAATAAATATAAACAAAAATTGTAATATAAGGTTGTGCTTAATTTTTTTTTTTTTTTTTTTTTTTTTTTTTTTGAGACGGAGTCTCGCTCTGTCGCCCAGTTCCGGACTGCGGACTGCAGTGGCGCACTGCAAGCTCTCGGCTCACTGCAAGCTCTGCTTCCTGGGTTCACGCCATTCTCCTGCCTCAGCCTCCCGAGTAGCTGGGACTACAGGCGCCTGCCACCGCGCCCGGCTAATTTTTTGTATTTTTTTTAGTAGAGACGGGGTTTCACCTTGTTAGCCAGGATGGTCTCGATCTCCTGACCTCGTGATCCACCCGCCTTGGCCTCCCAAAGTGCTGGGATTACAGGCGTGAGCCACCGCACCCAGCCGGTTGTGCTTAATTTTTGAAATTTAAAGGATATCTTAAGATTTTAGTTAAATAACATCACAAATATATGCAAGATAATTTCAAATACTGCTCTCTTTTTCTTTTGAACGTGTTATAACAAAAAACTATACAATATTATTTACTTGAGAATATAAAGGTTGCTTGCAAATTAACTACTCAATGAGACCTCAAGAATACTTGAACAGGTAATTTGTAGAAAAAGAAATAAGGCTAGCCATGAATATAAAAAGATTTTCTATCACAGAGAAAATGGAGAATGTGCCAACTTAAAACTATGAGATTGTTTGTTAGTATGTTAGTGTGGGAGCATGCTTTAGCAGCACTGGGCAAAGCAGCATATATGGTGTGGTGATGCACCAAATAAATCTGGCCCTGCTGATTCTTTTAAAAATATATTTTCTAAGAAAAATATAAATAATATGTACAAAAATGCTTATAGCAAAGATGCTTACCACAGCATTATTTTAAATAATGCTTTAATTATTTATAAAATTTAAAAACTACCAAATATTCCTTTGACCTTAGAACTTCATCAAAATCTAGTATGTTCTCAATACACCATTTTTACTAATGAATTAGTTATTGCATGTAAAGCACCTGCCTAGCATAGACAATGAAATGTAGCATATATAATAATAGTCATCATAATACTTAAAGTAAAACCATAGTCAATATTTTTTCTTATAAATTTAGTGTACTTCACGCAAGTGTTCGAAAAAAGAATGAGTACGTTTATAAAGGAGACTTGTATACTATCAAAACTATTTAATGTTGTTGGATATTTTTCTCAATCAAAATTATAACTGCAGCCACTCATAATATTACACACATATAATGCTTTCATCTTCTCTTTTATTGGCTATCAGAATACTCCACAATTCACTGAAAAAAGTCCTACAACAATTATCAACTTATTCATTTTGACCTTAAGTTGTTGCTTTTGAAGTGCTGTATAGAATTACTAAGGTAGGCAGAAGCAGTGTCTTCATGGATCATATATGTTGTGTTTTTTTGTATTTAACTATTTACAAAATGTATAGATATAATCAATAAATGTAACATCTTAATCAAGAAGAATAATAAGAATAAATTAAGAATAAACTATAAATAATCAGTAGGAATAAACTATAAATATAAATATTTTAATAAATATATACATTAATAAATGTTCAAATGAGTGAAATTAAACATGTGCCAGACCCTTAAATAGGATTATAGAAAAATAGGAAAATGATAAATATTTAATATACATATACTTAAAGATATAATCATGAATAATGAATAAATTTTTTTAAGTTGTATTTTTATCATGTAAAAATGTGAAATAGATACATAAAGCATTAATGCAGTGAAATACTATTTGATATAATACATCAGTTGATGAGAAAGTGCTAACATAAAGTTTGTAAGATTATAGCCAAAATGCTCATATATCTTTACCATGATTGACAGTTTCCCAAATGAAGAAACCAAGAATATACTTATATACCTATTAAGTTTTGGGCTGTATGTTTTACACACACACACACACACACACACATGCACACTTCTCATGAAATCTCTTAGGTTTTTGTTATTTGGCCCAGAAAACTAGGCTTAGATTTATGAACGGAAGGAAAATCATACACCAAGTGGAAAAGTTAATATGAAAATCTAGTTATAACATTGCACATTTGTGCATTATTTCAAAATTGTGCTGAGAATACAGAAGGCACTCAATATTTGTTGAGAGTATGAATAAATGAATGCTAATTTTAGTTTGCTCTTATTTGCCTCATTGGAGTTGTTGGAAATCCATTTATTTCCTTCAGGTCCTGGGGAGCCTGAGGAACAAAGGTATTAAGGGTATGACTGAATGTTACGTGTTTCATTTCTCATTTCTTTGTTTGGCCCAGAGAAACTGAAAGACTAAATATAAATATCCCCAATTTACATGTTCTTTGGTTCCTAAAGATACAATAATGACTCTTCCTTATGAATCATGATTTGGATTATTAATAGAGTACTGATACCTCCCTCCAAAGCAACAAAAAAAAGTCACTCAGAGATGACATGGTCTTCCAGAAATAATTTTAAAGATTTAAATAAAATTAGTTCTAAGATTGCGTAAATATCTAAGTGTTGGAGTAAATGAAAAACAGATAACACATCAATGATACTTTCAGTCTTAATTTTCAGGGAAAAAATCCAATATTAGGAAAATGTGGAACTCAGTGCCTATCACCTAAGCTCAACTTACTTTTTGAAAAGTTTATAACATTTTCTCAAATTGACTAAAAGGTAATATTAGGACCACAAGATGAGGACAAATATCCAGAAAATATGGCGTGAAAAATATTATAAATTTTCTTTCTTCTTACTTTGACCCAAGATCTAAAGCACCAGCCATAAACCATTTGAAAGACCTTTGGTTCTTAAAGCTGTTACTTCACAGCCATATAACCAAGTGTTGGTTCTGTGCACTTGGTTTGTTGATTTAAGTCACCCATATAGAATACTGAGTAGAAACATACCAGTCTATGATAGACTAAGTTGATTGTTTTTGCTGGCAGATGTGAGAGAGCATCATTGCTCATTATATGGTTGGCTTAATTGGTTTTTCTCCTGGAATACGTGGATGGCGTTCTTTTAATCTGTTACACAGAGTACTTAAAATCAAAGCCTCTGAATTATTGTTTAATTGTTAGTATATTTTAGATCATGGTTACATTCTGGGATTGGTTTATGCTAAAACACTTGTTTGTCCTTTACACAGGGATTAACATGGGGCCGAAAAAGGTCATTTCTGTTGTTTTCAAGCATTAGCCACTTGTTATTAGTAAAATGTTGAAGTGAGAGTTCACTGATTTTAAAAACCAAATACTGTAATAGGACACAGAATTTAATAAGAATATTATCTCTTTGGAGCATGATTTTTGTTGTCATGTTATATACAGTAGAAAGGTCAAATGATGGATGTGACTATTACAAATAGCAGTGATTTATGATGGGGTATCTGCAAAATAGGCTTTGCTTTGAGAAAAAAAATCAAAATCTGTGTTTTAAAGTAGCATTAATATTTTTGTTCTGTAACTAGAAAATGAATAAACAATGTTTGTTTGCGAAGGACTTTGGAGATTTTTGTGATTATGGTTTAAATCGCAAGAAAAAAATCTAGGCTAGAGAAGAACACTTTAAAATTGTGTTTTAAAATCGCATTTGGAAAACAGCCTCTCTTTAGTTTTCATTAAAAGATGGATAAAGACAATACAACAAAATAGGAACTCAGAAGAACCCTAAACATAGACCAACAGATAACCTATACTCAGAACCTAGGAGGACAGCCTTTCCTCTAAGTTGAATAAAACTGGGCTACCTTGTAACCTGTCTCTAAACAATATCACATTCAAAAGAAAACCAGTATGATACGAACAAAAGAATCAAACAGCAACTTAAATGTTAACTGCAGCTTTACCAAGGGCCTCTCAATAAAATAGCAACTTATGACTCACAGAAAAATGACCTACAATCACCTTTATTCACCTGAATGTCCCTGAATCTTCACAGAAATAGTTCATGTCTCTCCTATATTTCCCTCATCCTCAGAAAACCTGCGGTTCACACAGCCCATGCAAACCTGGGCTCTCATTCTGTGGACTATCTGACCGTCATTAGATTTAAATATAAATTAATTTAGTCTCTCTTGGTTGTTTAAATGTTGCCCTATATTCAATAGTCCACATTCAAACAAGGACTAGGAATGAAACAAATACACATAATTGAATTTATAAAAGGCAGGGGAAGGTACACTTCTGTTCTTGTCTCATTCCAGTGAGCATAATTGATTGAGATTCTTACCAACCAATGCTCTACCCAAGTGTAACCTCACGAAACAGATAAACTTGGCTCACCTGCAAGAAGGAGAAAATAGAAACAAGTAAAATATAATATGCTCTAAAATCTGATCAGTGAAGACTTCTTTTCTGCTTTTACAATTTTACTCATGCAAAATAATGAAGCACTTATTTGTAGTATTCTACCCATACCCAATAGATTACCTGCCATTGCCAAATGCAATATAGCCTTAAAGTATTAATTTTGTGTACCTTTCTTATAGGTTGTCCTACTTGCTAGCCATTCATTATAGCAATGCCCCTATTTCAAACATGTCTAGAAGAACAGCATTAGTGGGGAGGAGCCAAGATGGCCGAATAGGAACAGCTCCAGTCTACAGCTCCCAGCGTGAGCGAGGCAGAAGACAGGTGATTTCTGCATTTCCATCTGAGGTACCGGGTTCATCTCACTAGGGAGTGCCAGACAGTGGGCGCAGGCCAGTGGGTGCACGCACCAGGCGCGAGCCGAAGCAGGGCAAGGCATTGCCTCACTTGGGAAGCGCAAGGGGTCAGGGAGTTCCCTTTCCGAGTCAAAGAAAGGGGTGACGGACGCACCTGGAAAATCGGGTCACTCCCACCCGAATATTGTGCTTTTTGGACCGGCTTAAAAAACGGCCCACCACGAGATTATATCCCGCACCTGGCTCGGAGGGTCCTACGCCCACGGAGTCTCGCTGATTGCTAGCACAGCAGTCTGAGATCAAATTGCAAGGCGGCAGCTAGGCTGGGGGAGGGGCGCCCGCCATTGCCCAGGCTTGCTTAGGTAAACAAAGCAGCAGGGAAGCTGGAACTGGGTGGAGCCCACCACAGCTCAAGGAGGCCTGCCTGCCTCTGTAGGCTCCGCCTCTGGGGGCAGGGCACAGACAAACAAAAAGACAGGAGTAACCTCTGCAGCCTTAAATGTCCCTGTCTGACAGCTTTGAAGAGAGCAGTGGTTCTCCCAGCACGCAGCTGGAGATCTGAGAACGGGCAGACTGCCTCCTCAAGTGGGTCCCTGACCCCTGACCCCCGAGCAGCCTAACTGGGAGGCACCCCCCAGCAGGGGCACACTGACACCTCACACGGCAGGGTATTCCAACAGACCTACAGCTGAGGGTCCTGTCTGTTAGAAGGAAAACTAACAAACAGAAAGGACATCCACACCAAAAACCCATCTGTACATCACCATCATCAAAGACCAAAAGTAGATAAAACCACAAAGATGGGGAAAAAACAGAACAGAAAAACTGGAAACTCTAAAACTCAGAGCGCCTCTCCTCCTCCAAAGGAACGCAGTTCCTCACCAGCAACGGAACAAAACTGGATGGAGAATGACTTTGACGAGCTGAGAGAAGAAGGCTTCAGATGATCAAATTACTCTGAGCTACGGGAGGACATTCAAACCAAAGGCAAAAAAGTTGAAAACTTTGAAAAAAATTTAGAAGAATGTATAACTAGAATAACCAATACAGAGAAGTGCTTAAAGGAGCTGATGGAGCTGAAAACCAAGGCTTGAGAACTACGTGAAGAATGCAGAAGCCTCAGGAGCCAATGCGATCAACTGGAAGAAAGGGTATCAGCAATGGAAGATGAACTGAATGAAATGAAGCGAGAAGGGAAGTTTAGAGAAAAAAGAATAAAAAGAAATGAGCAAAGCCTCCAAGAAATATGGGACTGTGTGAAAAGACCAAATCTACGTCTGATTGGTGTACCTGAAAGTGATGGGGAGAATGGAACCAAGTTGGAAAACACTCTGCAGGATATTATCCAGGAGAACTTCCCCAATCTAGCAAGGCAGGCCAACGTTCAGATTCAGGAAATACAGAGAACGCCAAAAAGATACTCCTCGAGAAGAGCAACTCCAAGACACATAATTGTCAGATTCACCAAAGTTGAAATGAAGGAAAAAATGTTAAGGGCAGCCAGAGAGAAAGGTCGGGTTACCCTCAAAGGGAAGCCCATCAGACTAACAGTGGATCTCTCAGCAGAAACCCTACAAGCCAGAAGAGAGTGGGGGCCAATACTCAACATTCTTAAAGAAAAGAATTTTCAACCCAGAATTTCATATCCAGCCAAACTAAGCTTCATAAGTGAAGGAGAAATAAAATCCTTTACAGACAAGCAAATGCTGAGAGATTTTGTCACCACCAGGCCTGGCCTAAAAGAGCTCCTGAAGGAAGTGCTAAACACGGAAAGGAACAACCGATACCAGCCGCTGCAAAATCATGCCAAAATGTAAAGACCATCAAGACTAGGAAGAAACTGCATCAACTAACGAGCAAAATCACCAGCTAACATCATAATGACAGGATCAAATTCACACATAACAATATTAACTTTAAATGTAAATGGACCAAATGCTCCAATTAAAAGACACAGACTGGCAAATTGGATAAAGAGTCAAGACCCATCAGTATGCTGTATTCAGGAAACCCATCTCACGTGCAGAGACACACATAGGCTCAAAATAAAAGGACAGAGGAAGATCTACCAAGCAAATGGAAAACAAAAAAAGGCAGGGGTTGCAATCCTAGTCTCAGATAAAACAGACTTTAAACCAACAAAGATCAAAAGAGACAAAGAAGGCCATTACATAATGGTAAAGGGATCAATTCAACAAGAAGAGCTAACTATCCTAAATATATATGCACCCAATACAGGAGCACCCAGATTCGTAAAGCAAGTCCTGAGTGACCTACAAAGAGAATTAGACTTCCACATTAATAATGGGAGACTTTAACACCCCACTGTCAACATTAGACAGATCAACGAGACAGAAAGTCAACAAGGATACCCAGGAATTGAACTCAGCTCTGCACCAAGTGGACCTAATAGACATCTACAGAACTCTCCACCCCAAATCAACAGAATATACATTTTTTTCAGCACCACACCAACCTATTCCAAAATTGACCACATACTTGGAAGTAAAGCTCTCCTCAGCAAATGTAAAAGAACAGAGATTATAACAAACTATCTCTCAGACCACAGTGCAATCAAACTAGAACTCAGGATTAAGAATCTCACTCAAAACTGCTCAACCTCATGGAAACTGAACAACCTGTTGCTGAATGACTACTGGGTACATAACAAAATGAAGGCAGAAATAAAGATGTTCTTTGAAACCAACGAGAACAAAGACACAACATACCAGAATCTCTGGGACACATTCAAAGCAGTGTGTAGAGGGAAATTTATAGCACTAAATGCCCACAAGAGAAAGCAGGAAAGATCCAAAATTGACACCCTAACATCACAATTAAAAGAACTAGAAAAGCAAGAGCAAACACATTCAAAAGCTAGCAGAAGGCAAGAAATAACGAAAATCAGTGCAGAACTGAAGGAAATAGAGACACAAAAAACCCTTCAAAAAATTAATGAATCCAGGAGCTGGTTTTTTGAAAGGATCAACAAAATTGATAGACCACTAGCAAGATTAATAAAGAACAAAAGAGAGAAGAATCAAATAGACACAATAAAAAATGATAAAGGGGATATCACCACAGATCCCACAGAAATACAAACTACCATCAGAGAATACTACAAACACCTCTACGCAAATAAACTAGAAAATCTAGAAGAAATGGATAAATTCCTCGACACATACACTCTCCCAAGACTAAACCAGGAAGAAGTTGAATCTCTGAATAGACCAATAACAGGAGCTGAAATTGTGGCAATAATCAATAGTTTACCAACCAAAAAGAGTCCAGGACCAGATGGATTCACAGCCAAATTCTATCAGAGGTACAAGGAGGAACTGGAACCATTCCTTCTGAAACTATTCCAATCAATAGAAAAAGAGGGAATCCTCCCTAACTCATTTTATGAGACCAGCATCATTCTGATACCAAAGCCGGGCAGAGACACAACCAAAAAAGAGAATTTTAGACCAATATCCTTGATGAACATTGATGCAAAAATCCTCAATAAAATACTGGCAAAACGAATCCAGCAGCACATCAAAAAGCTTATCCACCATGATCAAGTGGGCTTCATCCCTGGGATGAAAGGCTGGTTCAATATACGCAAATCAATAAATGTAATCCAGCATATAAACAGAGCCAAAGACAAAAACCACATGATTATCTCAATAGATGCAGAAAAAGCCTTTGACAAAATTCAACAACCCTTCATGCTAAAAACTCTCAATAAATTAGGTATTGATGGGACGTATTTCAAAATAATAAGAGCCATCTATGACAAACCCACAGCCAATATCATACTGAATGGGCAAAAACTGGAAGCATTCCCTTTGAAAACTGGCACAAGACAGGGACCCCCTCTCTCACCACTCCTATTCAACATAGTGTTGGAAGTTCTGGCCAGGGCAATTAGGCAGGAGAAGGAAATAAAGGGTATTCAATTAGGGAAAGAGGAAGTCAAATTGTCCCTGTTTGCAGACGACATGATTGTATATCTACAAAACCCCATTGTCTCAGCCCAAAATCTCCTTCAGCTGATAAGCAACTTCAGCAAAGTCTCAGGATACAAAATCAATGTACAAAAATCACAAGCATTCTTATACCAATAACAGACAAACAGAGAGCCAAATCATGAGTGAACTCCCATTCACAATTGCTTCAAAGAGAATAAAATACCTAGGAATCCAACTTACAAGGGATGTGAAGGACCTCTTCAAGGAGAACTACAAACCACTGCTCAATGAAATAAAAGAGGATACAAACAAATGGAAGAACATTCCATGCTCATGGGTAGGAAGAATCAATATCGTGAAAATGGCCATACTGCCCAAGGTAATTTACAGATTCAATGCCATCACCATAAAGCTACCAATGACTTTCTTCACAGAATTGGAAAAAAATACTTTAAAGTTCATATGGAACCAAAAAAGAGCCCGCATCACCAAGGCAATCCTAAGCCAAAAGAACAAAGCTGGAGGCATCACGCTACCTGACTTCAAACTATACTACAAGGCTACAGTAACCAAAACAGCATGGTACTGGTACCAAAACAGAGATATAGATCAATGGAACAGAACAGAGCCCTCAGAAATAATGCCACATATCTACAACTATCTGATCTTTGACAAACCCAAGAAAAACAAGCAATGGGGAAAGGAGTCCCTATTTAATAAATGGTGCTGGGAAAACTGGCTAGCCATATGTAGAAAGCTGAAACTGGATCCCTTCCTTACACCTTAAACAAAAATCAATTCAAGATGTATTAAAGACTTAAACGTTAGACCTAAAACCATAAAAACCCTAGAAGAAAACCTAGGCATTACCATTCAGGACATAGGCATGGGCAAGGACTTCATGTCCAAAACACCAAAAGCAATGGCAACAAAAGCCAAAATTGACAAATGGGATCTAATTAAACTAAAGAGCTTCTGCACAGCAAAAGAAACTACCATCAGAGTGAACAGGCAACCTACAAAATGGGAGAAAATTTTCACAACCTACTCATCTGACAAAGGGCTAATATCCGGAATCTACAATGAACTCCAACAAATTTACAAGAAAAAAACAAACAACCCCATCAAAAAGTGGGCGAAGGACATGAACAGACACTTCTCAAAAGAAGACATTTATGCAGCCAAAAAACACATGAAGAAATGCTCATCATCACTGGCCATCAGAGAAATGCAAATCAAAACCACAATGAGATACCATCTCACACCAGTTAGAATGGCAATCATTAAAAAGTCAGGAAACAACAGGTGCTGGAGAGGATGTGGAGAATTAGGAACACTTTTACACTGTTGGTGGGACTGTAAACTAGTTCAACCATTGTGGAAGTTAGTGTGGCGATTCCTCAGGGATCTAGAACTAGAAATACCATTTGACCCAGCCATCCCATTACTGGGTATATACCCAGAGGACTATAAATCATGCTGCTATAAAGACACATGCACACGTATGTTTATTGCGGCATTATTCACAATAGCAAAGACTTGGAACCAACCCAAATGTCCAACGATGATAGACTGGATTAAGAAAATGTGGCACATATACACCATGGAATACTATGCAGCCATAAAAAATGATGAGTTCATGTCCTTTGTAGGGACATGGATGAAATTAGAAATCATCATTCTCAGTATACTATCGCAAGAACAAAAAACCAAACACCGCATATTCTCACTCATAGGTGGGAATTGAACAATGAGATCACATGGACACAGGAAGGGGAATATCACACTCTGGGGACTGTGATGGGGTGGGGGGAGTGGGGAGGGATAGCATTGGGAGATATACCTAATGCTAGATGATGAGTTAGTGGGTGCAGCACACCAGCATGGCACATGTATACATATGTAACTAATCTGCACAATGTGCACATGTACCCTAAAACTTAAAGTATATAAAAAAAAAAAGAACAGCATTAGTGTATTGATCATGATAATGTTTGGAGAGCTTTGTAACTTAGGTTTTTATTGATGATCTAGTTATATATTGAGATACTTTGCTAAAAATGTCTTTCAAGACATAGTCTTTTACCAGCGCCTTAGATAGGTTTTTATTTTTTTTTTTTTGAGACAGTCTCCCTCTGTCACCCAGGCTGGAGTGCAGTGGTGCGATCTTGGCTCACTGCAACCTCTGCCTCCCAGGTTCAAGCCTTCCGAGTATCTGGGACTACAGGTGCATGCCACCATGCTTGCCAAGCCCGGCTAATTTTTGTATTTTTAGTAGAGACCAGGTTTCAACATATTGGCCAGGCTGGTCTTGAACTCTTGACCTCATGATCCACCCACCTTGGCCTCCCAAAGTGCTGGGATTACAGGCTTTATTCCATATAATCTTTTTTCCATTTTTTCCCATTCTATATACGTATATATGTAGGAATATATATATACAATTTTTGAAGTTTTATTTTTGACATTGTTAACCATATATAAAAATAAAGCAAATGTATAATTAATCCATATGTGTCTAATAATTTAAATTCAACAATTATCCACATATTTCTGTTCTTTTATGTAAGTATTAACCCAGTTGTTTTTGCTAGAATATGTTAAAAGAAATCCCATATAGTTTATAATTTCATCCTTAAATAATATGGTATGTACCTCTAATGGGTAGACTTGTTTAAGAAGCCCTAAATTGTTATTACATCTAACAAACTAAAATTCTCCTTTATCATAATCTATAAAAAAGTTCATATAAAATTTTATCCAGTTTCTTAAAATATAATTGTATAGTCAATTCATATGAACCAGGATTCAAATAAGTTTATTCACTGCATTCGGATGATAGGTCTCTTAAGTCTCTTTTATCCATGTCAGTTCATTCTATTATTCCACTAGTCCATTTATTCATTAAAAAATGTGGTTTTTCAACACACAACTTCTTATTTTTTTTGTTGTCTCCCAAGTAACCAAGATTACAGGTGCCCACCACCACACAAAGTTAATTTTTGTATTTTTTAGTAGAGATGGGGTTTCACCATGTTGGCCAGGCTGGTCTTGAACTCCTGATCTCAGGTAATCTGTGCACCTTGGCCTGCCAGAGTGCTGAGATTACAGGTGTAAGCCACCGTGCCTGGCCCACAATTCGTGTTGTTTACTTTCTACTTCATTGTAAATGCTTGATTTTTCTAACTTTTGTGATCTGACTATTGCTCATTGGTATACCAGCCAGATTGTGCTGCATAACCAAATCATTACACATTTACTTAATTAATAATACTGCAAGGCAAGGATAGGCTGAAAGTTCTAACAAACACTTGGCTAAGGTCTCATTGGTCTTAAATGGCTTTCTTCATATGTGTAGTAGTTAGCTTAGTGCAGGTTTTGGTAAAATTTTTCTTCAAGGAGAAGTACATGTTTAGTTTGGAGAGCCATGCAACACATGCCACAATTATTTGACCCTTCCATTAAGCTAAAAACATCCATAGATAAAAACATAAATAAATGAACAGGGCTGTATCCCAATAAGAATTTATTTATGAGAACAGCTGAAAGGTCTATGGCTTATAGTTTACCAACCTCTGATATGATGGAAAAGGACAATAGGAATACATGGTGCTCTTCAGAAAAAAAAACACAGATGAAAAACTAAGGTAATCTAATAAAATATAGTAACAGACATTTAAAAATGCCTGATGATCTTATTATAAAATTTTGATATATTTGAAAAAAGAATCATTGGCTTGAAGATAGTACAATAGAAATGACACAATTTAAAAAACAAGGTGAAGGTAAAATAAATTAAAAATTAAAAAAATAAAAAGAACTGGCTGGGTGTGGTGGCTCACACCTGTAATCCCAGCACTTTGGGAGGCAGAGGTAAGCAGATCACCTGAGGTCAGGAGTTCAAGACCAGCCTGACCGACATGGTGAAACTCTGTCTGTACTAAAAATACAAAATTAGTGGGGTGTGGTGGCACATGCCTGTAATCTCACCTACTCAGTAAGCTGAGGCAGGAGAATCACTTGAACCCGGGAGGCAGAGGTTGTAGTGAGCTGAGATCACACCATTGTACTGCAGCCTGGGCAACAAGAGCAAAACTCTGTCAAAAAAACAAAAACAAAAAAACAGACTACAGAAGATGTGTGAAATAACACAATAACACAAAGGGTCTAACTTCTTTTGTGTAATTGAGATCCCAGATAAAGATAAGAAAGAATGAGGCAGAAAAAATATTTGAAAAAATAATGATTGTTCTTTTTTTTATCAAAATGAAAGATATGAAACCACACATCCAAGAATGTCACATAATATCAGCAAGAAACAAAGATACAGGTAGAAAATATTAAATACAGCCAGTCAGAAGACACATTACTTACAGTTGTCAAAGATCAATATTACAGCAGACTTTTTATTAGATACTATGTATACCAGAAGACAATGAGTGACATTTTTTTAAATGCTGAAAGAAAAAAAACCTCAAACTAGAATTCTGTATTCAGCAAAAAATATGTCTTAGAAATCAAAAGGACATTAAAGCTTTTCAAAAAATCAAAAACAGAAAGATCTCATATTATTGAATTTTCACTAGTAAAATTGGTTAAGGAAGCTCTTCAGGCAGAAAGAATAAGATGTCATATAGCCACAAGCATTGCAGTAAGAAAGTTGTAAAATTGAAATGATTATACAATTCATTTTTTCTCTTTTTATCAATCTAAAAGATAACTGACTGTGTATAGAATAAATAATACCAACATATTGTTTGTTTCTATATGTAAAATAAAATGTATGAAAGCAATAGCACAAAGCTTGGGAGGGGGAATTGGGATGATATTGTTATGAGTTTTGTACATTATGTATGAAGCACTGTGATATTATTTGAAGAAAGATTGTGATTACTTACAGATTAATATTATAAATGCTAGTATACTCAATAAAATTTTGAAGAGCAGAGTAAGAAATAAAGCATAAATGAAGTTAAAAATACAGTAATTTAAAAAATCATATAATATAAAAGAAGGTATAAAAGAGGAAACAAGGAAAAAATAATAAAAGGAAAATAGAAAATACTAAGCAGCATGATAGATTTTAATCCAAGATATGAATAATCACATTAAATGCAAATGATTTGAACCTACCAGTTAAAAATAATTCAGATTTTATTAAAAGCAAGACCCAGCTATATATATTTTATAAGAACTCTACCATAAATAAATAAACATCCACTTAAATACAGATTGAAAGTAAATCAGTGGAGAAAGATATTCCATACAAACACCAAAGAAAGCTAGATTGGCTATATTAACATTTAAAAAGTAGATTTCTAAAAAAAGAATATTATCAGGTATAAAAGATATTTAACAATAATAAACATGTCAAATATTATATATATATATTTCTGTTGGCATAAATCTAGATAACAATGTTTGTGTAGGAAAAGATACACTTCATTTAAGTTTTTAAAAATTTTATTCTTACATTATTATAAAAGAAATCTCTTATAATGTATTAGAATTTCCTTCATTTGGTAGTTATTTACTCCTTGTCATTTTCTTATTGAGAATGTATGCTTCCATTCCTTCCTATTATTTGAGTCAATATTTATGTATTCTGCTGAGTTAAAAATAAAACAACATTTGAACTTCTTGATTTATTCTACTATTTTTTATTGTCTAATTAAATAATTTGTATTTCAGGTTTCTGTATCCAGTGAAAATATCATTTAAAAGATAAACATGAAATAAACGTTTCCAGCTGGACTACACTATGTAAAAATGAAGTTATTTGGGATGAAAAATAATGACACCACATAGATAATCATATTTTCAGTAAAAATGAGCAAAACCAAAAGTAAATAAATTGATACATGTACGTTTGTTTGTGTGTTTTTACTTCTCATAATTTTACTTAAGGTATCTAATTGTCTAAAACAAAAATTATAAATCTGAGATAGCTCATATAAAAGAAAAATATCACAACATTAGCACCAATTATAATATGGGAATGAAATTAAACCATTGTCAGTTCATTGCATTTGTAAAGTAGGAAATTGAAGCTTTAAGTGTGAGTTGAGAGATAGAAAGCAACTTTCAGATGTGAACTGAGAAGTGTGAAGTAGGACATGGGAAACGCCAATGTGTGATGTGCTACTGACTTTGTTAAATGATACGTTTCGAATATAATATGCCTAACTTTGCATATCATATGCCTAAGTCAATCATTTATAAAAGGAGTAAAATGAGAGGTAGCCAATAGTACTTTCAGTAAATAAAATGGAGTGCAAAAGTAATATTTAATCAACCCAGAGGATGCAAAAAAGGAGTAAGAGAGAAAAAAAGTCATAGAAAAAAATGAAAAATGATACAATTTACACTTAAACATAATCATATCAATAATTATATTAAATGTCAGTTAATTAAATATACCAATTAAACACAGAGAGTGCCAGATGGGATAAAATCACTTACTATATTCTGGCTAAAAAAGACATTTAAAATTTATAGACACATGTGTACTAAAATTAAAAATATGAAAAATATACCATAGAGAGAGTAAGCATAAAAATGGCATGGTACATTAATATCAGACAAAAGCAATGGGAAGAACTATTGTGTATAAAATACAATGGAAGACATTTTTAAACAATAAAACTGGAAATTTAACTGGAAGCACATTCATAGTTGGAAATGTAAAGCCCTTCTTTAAAGAATGGATAAAATAAACAAACAAAACCAGCGTGGATACAAAAGGGTCAAGTATATGGATATCCAGATCCTCCTTGACTTACAATGGTGTTACCTCACAATAAACCCATTGTAAGTTGAAAATGTTGTAAATTAAAGATGCATTTTATACACCTCACCTATGGAACATCGTAACTTAGCTTTGCCTACCTTAAATATGCTCAGAACATTTACATCAGCCTACAGTTGGGAAAATTATATAACACAAAGCCTTTTTATAATAAAGTGTTGAAGATCTCACGAAATTTATTGAATACTATAGCTAAAGGTGGAAGTGGAAGGATTATATGAGTACTCAAGCTACATTTTCTACTGAATACTGACCATTATAAGTCAGGGAGTCAGGGACCATCTGTAATTTTTATTTACTCTGAACTGCTACAGAAATAACATGGATGTGTCCATACCTTCTTAGGACTTAAGCATAACCGTTACTATAAAACATGACAAGCACAACATAAAAAGTAAAATTTCTAACTAATTTCTCTCAAACATTAACAAATATTAGAAACTTAAATTCCATAATACATATAAAGGATGCTGCATCACAACCAAGTAGGGCTTATTATAAAACTCTAAAGTTGGATAACAATTGGTTATCAATCAATGTTTTCTTTAACCACATTAAGAATCAAAGTCATAACAACCATATTATCTAGATAATTTCAGAAAACATTAAAAAATCAATACCCATTCTTTACTAAAAATTACTATTAAACTAATAATATGAGAGTCCTTTTAAATTATTTAACTAATTAATTAATAATTTTGAGGCAGGGTTTCACTCTGTAGCCAGGGCTGGAGTACAGTGGCGTGATCGTGGCTCACTTCAGCAATCCTCCTCCCTCAGCCTCACAATTAGCTGAGACTACAGGCATGTGTCACCACACCTGGCTAATTTTTAAATTTTTTTGTAGAGATGAGATCTCACTATGTTGCCTAGGCTGGTCTCAAACTCCTGGGCTCAAGCAATCTTCTCACCTTGGCCTCTCAAAGGAGAGTACATTTTTAATTGAAAAGAAAAACTATTAATAAAGCCATGATTTTCAATGCTGGGATACTGAAAACATCCCAGTACCACCTCTTAGATCAAGAAAAATGAAGAGATGCTTGTTATTCTTCTTATTCAACAATGTTCTGAATTATCTAGTCTCTGTTACAAGGTTTTAAAAAAATTCCACATAAATTTTAAAGGTGAAATCAAGCCTGTCATTATTTGCAGACAATGTGATGATATATCTAGAACATCCAAAGAATCAACAAACTATTTAAAATTCATGTTTAGAATTAACAAGGTTGCTGGACACATGGTCATTAAAAAAATCAAAACCGCAATGAGATACCATCCCACACCAGTTAAAATGGCAATCATTAAAAAGTCAGGAAACAACAGGTGCTGGAGAGGATGTGGAGAAATAGGAACACTTTTACACTGTTGGTGGGACTGTAACTAGTTCAACCATTGTGGAAGTCAGTGTGGCGATTCCTCAGGGATCTAGAACTAGAAATACCATGTGACCCAGCCATCCCATTACTGGGTATATACCCAAAGGACTATAAATCATGCTGCTATAAAGACACACACACACGTATGTTTATTGCGGCACTATCCACAATAGCAAAGACTTGGAACCAACCCAAATGTCCAACAATGATAGACTGGATTAAGAAAATGTGGCACATATACACCATGGAATACTATGCAGCCATAAAAAATGATGAGTTCATGTCCTTTGTAGGGACATGGATGAAATTGGAAATAATCATTCTCAGTAAACTATCGCAAGGACAAAAAACCAAACACCGCATGTTCTCACTCATAGATGGGAATTGAACAATGAGAACACATGGACACAGGAAGGGGAACATCACACTCTGGGGACTGTTGTGGGGTGGGGGGAGGGGGGAGGGATAGCATTAGGAGATAACCTAATGCTAAATGACGAGTTAATGGGTGCAGCACACCAGCATGGCACATGTATACATATGTAACTAACCTGCACATTGTGCACATGTACCCTAAAACTTAAAATATAATAATAATAAAATAAAAAAATAAAAAATAAATAAAAAAGTCAGGAAGAAACAGGTGCTGGAGAGGATGTGGAGAAATAAGAATGCTTTTATGCTGTTGGTGGGACTGTAAACTAGTTCAACCATTGTGGAAGACAGTGTGGCGATTCCTCATGGATCTAGAACTAGAAATACCATTTGACCCAGCCATCCCATTACTGGGCATACACCCAAAGGATTATAAATCATGCTGCTATAAAGACACATGCACATGTATGTTTATTGCTGCACTATTCACAATAGCAAAGACTTGGAACCAACCCAAATGCCCATCAATGATAGACTGGAATAAGAAAATGTGGCACATATACACCATGGAATGCTATGCAACCATAAAAAAGGATGAGTTCATGTCCTTTGTAGGGACACAGATGAAGCTAGAAACCATCATTCTGAGCAAACTGTTGCAAGGACAGAAAACCAAACACCGCATGTTCTCACTTATAGGTGGAAATTGAATAATGAGAACACCTGGACACAGGGAGAAATATGTCACACACCAGAGCCTGTCATGGGGTCGGGGGAGGGGGAACGGATAGCATTAGGAGATATGCCTAATGTAAATGAGGAGTTAACGGGTGCAGCACACCAGCAAGGCACATGTATACATATGTAACAAATCTGCACATTGTGCACATGTACCCTAGAACTTAAAGTATAATAAAAAAATAAAAAATAAAGGAAAATTGAAAGATTAAAAAAATAATAAAAAAATAAAAAAGTAATTGTATTTTATGTTCTAGCAACAAACAACTGGAAAATGTATATTTCTAAAAGTTGCCACTTACTATTGCAATATCAATACAATATCGCAATATTAATAATATCAAATACTAGAAATAAATCTAATGAAAGAGGAGCAATATTTCCCAGTTGTATGTTCACATATTGAAACATTCAGTGTTGTGAAGATGTCAATATTTCCAAAATTTTTCTATAAATTCATTTAAATCTCAACCAAAATTCAAAATCCAAGAAAGTTTTTTTTAGAAATTGATACAATGATACTAAAATTACAGAAATGCAAAAGCACAGGATTAGTGAAGATGGTCTGGAAGAATAAATCTGGGGAATTTATATTTCAAAAATCAAGACCTAACAAAAAACTATATTAATTAATACAGTTCAGTGGAAAAATTGGTGGTTGGTGCTATGTAATTATATTCTCTTCTGGAAAACAAAGTGTACATGGAATCCTATTTCAGACAAAATACAAAATCAAATTTCAGATGGAATTCATATTTAAATTGATATTAAAATGAAAACTATTTTAGCAGGAAACAAGAGAACATCAGGCTGACCTTGGAGTTGAGCTGATTTCTTAAAGAAATAGGAAAAAAGCAGCAACTACAAAAGAGGAAAAATATATACTGAAATATATTACAAATTATTTAAAGTGATTAATATATTGCAAAAGCAAGCCCCATCATGGGAGAAGATCTTCTAAATACATACGGTCAACAAGAGGCTGATCTCTGGAATACATAAAGAACTCTAACAAGCAAGTAAGTCTAAGATGGACAATCAAATTAAAAGAAAAGCAAAACTTGAAAAGACATCTCACAAAACAGAATACTCAAATTACCAATAAACACATTAATTTGCTCATCTGTGAGTCATCAGGGAAATGAAAATGATAACCATAATGGGATACAATTCCACTTCTACCATATTAGGTAAAATGGAAAATACACTAAAAAAATTACCAAGTGTGTCAAGAAGCTGATGCAATTAGAACTGTCCTATAATGCTAATGGGAGGGTCAACTGGGAAAACTACTCTAGAAGATTGTTGGGAAGTATCTATTAATGTGAAACATGAGTAAATCCATGACCTAGCAATTATATCATGAGGTACATGCTCAACAGAAAGTTCACTTGATGTGCAAGAATACTCATAGCAAGACTGACTGTAACAGCTAGGAAAGAAATTTGATCATATGCAGTAATGCCTTACAAGATCCATACTCACTCATTAGCACTACCTAAAAAAAGTCTACCATAAATAGAAATATTTTAAAAAGTATGAAATTATTTATATAAACAAAATCTAGAATATAAATAGTAAGTGGAGGATTATCATGATGGGAGATTTATTCTTAAGATATTATATAGTCATTAAAATCATACTCACAAATATTATTTAATATCAAATATTAATGGTTTTTAAAATGTGACCTGAGAACCCCTGAAGTAAATGCAATGGACTTGCAGAGGTTCCTCTTACTCTCTCACAAGTGTACAGGGTTTACTGCTATGGTTCAAGATTCTATATTTGTAACTAATTTTTTTTTTTTTTTTTTTTTTAAGAGATGGAGTCTGTCTCTGTCTTCCAGGCTAGAGTGCAAGAGTTCAGTGGCATGATTTTGGCTCACTGCAGTCTCAACCTCCTGGCCTTTACCAATCCTCCCACCTCAGCCTCCCAAAGTGCTGGGTTGTGAGCCACTCCTTCAGGAACTAACCTTTAAGAAACTGCTATTGACTTTGGGTTATTGATACACATCACAATTATCTAGAAAGACAAATATAATACTCCTTCCTTTTCCAAAAATGTATCTGTGTGACGCCCGTTATTTTTAGTATATATAGTAACAAAAGCAATATATTGCACTACATTGAATGCAGAAGCAGACATGGAAATTCAGCTGTCTTCTTTTAAGTCAGATATTAAAGACATTTGTAAAAACTTTAAAAGAATGACCCCTTCTCAATAATATTTTGCTTTGAGAAGCATAGGTATCAGAAGATATATTATTTTTGTTAACGTGTAATCTATTTATTATTATTCAATGACTAAATACATATTTTAAGTTTTTCTCATTTTAAATTCTGATATCGTAAAGTCATTGATATATCTTACATAAACCAAAGTTCTTGGTGGACTCAATAAATTTTAATAGTGTGGTTACAGAGGTTAGAATGATTAAGGGCTACTGACATGTAGCAATACTACAAAAAACTTCTGTAAAAACACAGAATATAAGTTGAAGGCCTGGATCTTGCCAACGTATGGCAGGTGACCTGGGGGTAGGTAGCTCCTCGATGACTGTTTTCCTACCTTTGAAATATGAAAAGAAACATATCTATCTGGTGTGTTTTTTGTGATAATAAAAGAAAATAAAATTTGGCATATTACAAATCCTCATTTTGTATCTCTACTAATAATTAGTATACGTTAGGTTAGAAAATATTTAAAATTAATTTCACTTTGTACATAAAAACAACTTTTGTTAAAATGAGAACAGTTAGACTGGATGTGGTGGCTCATGCCTATAATCCCAGTATTTTGGGAGGCTGAGGTAGGAAGATCACTTGAGGTCAGGAGTCTGAGAGCAGCCTGGGCAACATAGTGAGACTCCATCTCTACAAAAAATTTTAAAATTAGCTGGGCATAGTGGCACACGCCAGTAGTCTCAGCTACATGGGAGGCTGAGGTGGGAGGATCACTTGAGCCCAGGAGGTTGAGGCTGCAGTGAACTATGATCACGCCACTGTACTCCAGTCTGGGCACCAGAGTGAGAATCTGTCTCAAAAAAAAAAAAAAAAAAAGAAAAAGGATTAATTGAGGGGATGGGTCCATCACATTCGCCACAACTGAGCAATTAAATTCTTAATATCTAATCTTAAAATAACTACTAAGAATATGCTAATCCACTTCATTTTTAGTAAAATAAATGAATATGCTATTTCCATATATTTAATGAATATGGTAATTTATTTCATTTTTAATGTTATTGATCATCTTGATTGGGACATCTGGAATCCTTACTTAGAAGGAAGTCACATAGTCTCATCAGGGCTACTCTGCTGGTAATATAAATAATCCTTGTGGTTTATCTTCACCCCAAACTCCAGGTCAAGTGACTGCATTGAACCTTCAACATCACATTACTAACGTAAGTATGGCCAACCTACTGCAGTTATGGGCAAAATAAGGAGTCTCAGAGAGAATGTCGATAAAACGAGTAAAGTTAAATGCATTGAGCAGTAAACGCAATAATGCCGAAACTGAATGTCATGTTTTTGCCCTGATTTGAAGAGAGATCTTCTGTATAACGATCTGAAGAATGTGGAGGATCCTACTCAGGCTCAAGGAGGCGATGTGAGCCTCTTGCTCGTTGCAGTTGTTCTTGCTGTAAAATTTCTTCCATACTATAGAGCTGTACCTGTTGAATGCTTAATGTCCCTTTCTTCCAGATCTATGATTCTTCTGCCATATGTTCCCCAGATTGAAAATAGATTTCATTTCTTTAAACAAAAATTCTTTTGACATATTCGCTTTCATATCCTAATCTACTCAGCCAACCTTCCTTTTCAATTATCCTATGGGTGCTAAGATGTCATGTAAAAATTTTTCATTTAATTTTGAAACTGCCATTGAACATACTTTATAATTAGAGTAAAGTAAAAGCATTATTAAAATTGAGCTGGAATTGTGTTTGCTTTGATATGCTCTGTGTAATATTTCTTGAAACAGGCTGATTCAATTGCGTATTTAAAGACCGAGTTTGTCAAGTTAGCAACATGGAAGAATGACAGGTCTAAAACAGAGTAATCCTGGTTTTAAAAAAAGGAGAGAAAGAGACTCTTTGAATGTGTTGTGGAAAGGGAATCCCACTAAACAATCCAAATATATTCTTTCCAAGTTCTTTTGTGGAGTAGAAAGTGGTTTTATCCAGATGTGTTTAATTTATTCGGAAAGAAAAAATGTATTTTTCTTTCTTATGCTAGTATTGTATGTGCTTACAGGTCATGAAAAATTACTTTCTTGCTTTGAATTTCACAGCAATTGTGAGGATCTCTGAACAGGAGCTATTTGTACATGAAGAGACAGGCAGAAAATTCAGTTAAATTGTTCTAATTGATCTGCATAGTAAGTTGAACTGGGTATTTTTTTTGTCTGAGGATTGTTTCCTTCCCTTGTATCAAAACTTCTTCCTGTCTCCATAGGGAGGAAAAAAGGAAAATAAGACATTATCTAAAAATTTTCCTGGAGATTCAGTAGCATACATTTGCTGGAATGTAGTGGACACATTATTCATACCTACTAAAATATGTACCCCACTGGTGTTGGCATTAAGAGACGTAGAATTGGTTTTATGGTTTCCCAATAAGATATTTTGTTAGATTATGAATTGTACTGGAGAATCCTGGTATTTATGTAAGATGGGCAAAATTAGATATGTAATAACATGATGCTTTTAGCAATTATTTAATTTACAAACGCTCAAATAACACACACGTTTTAAAAAGATAGATGTGAATGTAGATATACAGATATAGATTTTTAGCTGAAACAGTGTTGTGCACACTTGAACATGTGTACGCATATGCAGTATGTGCAGTTCTTATTCTACTTTTATACTGTCATTGCAATAATGGTTCCTAACTTCTATTACTTTTATTAACTCATACCATACTCTGCCCCATAATGGTTTATCAGAGCTTAACAGAAATACATATGAGACAACAAAATGTAAAATTTAAATCAGATGGATGAGGAGGGCAAGAAAGGAAAACTAAGAAACTGTGGAGGTAAGAAAAGTGAGAAAAAGATAATGAGAAAAAAACTAAGATAAAGCCACTCAATATTTATGCTGTAAAATTCCAATGACGTCTCTCTCTCTCCACTCACCTCACAAGGCTCTGCAGGGGAGGGCCAGATGTTTAGTTTCAGATTTTTTAGAGACTACTGCCAAGTCAAATGAAGGTCACATGCCTAATCAGTGGGGTCCCTAACTGGCCAGAAGAAACTTAGTCCCCCTAGACGTCGGCCAAGTCCAGCGTAGCATGAGCTTTGGACATTGCTGCTCTGCCCATGAGGATGCCCTTGCTCTTCCAGTGGGGTTTCTACCACTCCCTTTTCCCTGGCAGGCTTGGCGCATCAATCCTGTACTAAAGGTATCTTCCCTGCCCACCATCACACCTTAAAAAGTCATTTCGGGCATCTACTCCAATACACGTATCTCCTCTTTAAGTTTATGTCAGCCCGTGTGTCCATCAGAGGAGAACAAGAGAAAAATGAATAAACAATAGAAACAGTATCAGCAACAACAACAAAACAAGCATCTGGACAGTACTTTCTGTTTCTGAGCTCGCAGTCATTAATTTTTCTGTCACTCTTTTTATATGAAGCAGCTGAGGGAATGTTAGGATTTAGAGCGTATTTTCCATCTGTTATCGTGGCTCAGCCCATCATGTGCAAGAGCTTAACTGGAGCTGCTCGAGATGCCTGGGTCTCACAGTTGTCTAAGGGTGGGAGAGGAGTGGAGGGGGTTCCTAATAAGAATGAGGTGCCCACTCTTCTACTCTCCTCCAGTCACCCAGTACCACGACTAAGTGAAATACTCGATTTTACCAATAAGGGATATTTCTTTCTTTCCACATGAACAGTTTTACTCAACAACCATCACCAAAAACAAAACAAAACAAACAAACAAACAAAAAACCCCACACCATTTTAATTTTATTAACCTGGAATTACCTGAAATAACCATGGTAACAAATACTGAAATAACATAAATTGCTTATATAACCATAGAAACAGTACTACAAAATGGAAATTACCTATAATTTATCTCAGTTTCTTACCCTGACAATAATATAATGTGTATTTTTCACAAAACACGTATTTTAGCTACAGTAGCAATCAAGAAGTTATTCAAAACTTATTTAAGCCTGTCCAAAAGCTATCAGTTGTTATTTAGTTGCTGTGGTTATTTCTTATTAATAATTTTCTAGGTAAATGACACATAAAATGAATTAAAATATGACTTAATGCAAACTACAAGCAACAAATTAAAATGAGAACGAATGTTTTGTGAAGGAAAACCAGATACTTCTGAAAGATACTGATACAAAGAGTGCTCTGATCAGCCAAAAGATGGAACAACTGCCTATGTCAACTCTGTTTAGTTTCAGGTTTCTTTTCCTTTGAACAACATTTGATATTTCTATTTTTCTATACATATTTATAAATCTACAATGGGCCATGTCTGTTTTATATAACCCACCAAGTCAAAACTGGCCCATCAGATCCCTACGTACATATACTGGCAGGGTGCAGGAGGCTGGATCCAGGCCTCGGTTTCTTGCTACCCAGTTCCTGCCACACGCAGGCCAGGAGACCCAGGAAAGCCGCTCAATTTCTCTAACTCCCTTGAGTCAGAGAGTCACACGTTGGGCCGTGAAATAACTGAAACCACCTAATGCCTCAGGCTGAAAGGACATACTCAGAGGGGCGGGGATATAAGTTCACAGGTCACTTCACGGACTTCACCAATATCCTCCTATTTATTTTGACAATGTAGCCTCTCTGATGACCTAGAATAGAGTCCTAGCATACATTAAGCC